>NW_011332698.1:0-206320 GCF_000001405.40 Homo sapiens | reverse complement strand
TGGAAAATTCGCGAGCAAGGCTGTTCCCTCTAATTTAGTGGTTCAGAAACTGATTTTAGGCTTTCCATCTCCTTGACGTCGAAAACTTGCCAAACTTTAACTTCTGTGATCTTTGATTCACTGCTTAAAACAGGTCCTGGGCATCAGGTTTAGATCCACTGCCGAAATGGAAAATCCTGTTCTCAGACACAGCGGTGAGTGTGATGCTGCAGACAGTTCTCATTGGGATCCACCTTGTGATTCTCATTTGGGTCTAATAGCCTTTCTTTTTTTCAGTTCCTTGTTATTAAGTTGCTGTTTGAATGGGCGTGTGGGTAATCTCTGTGTGTGTGTGTTCGTGTGTGTGCAAGGGAGTTCACGCGGGGGGATGTCAGGCCGGCACACAGGAATGGAAAGGCTGCCCACTGGTCTCTGGAGCTGTTGAGGCTTCAGAGCGTCTCTTCCACTGCCGCCCTCCAGGGGCTCCCTCGCAGAGAGCGGAAGGCAAGGGCTGCCTGGGCTGCCATGGGCCATGGCTGAGACTGAGAAGTCTTTCCAGGATGGTAAGTAAAGCAGGTGGGCACGGGGTAGGTGGGCACAGGTGAGCTGACAGCCAGCAGCCCAGGGAGCCCCGAAGTTCAGTCCATATTCTGTCTTCAGATTTGGATTCACTCCCCGTGGTTTAGAAACAGTGCTGTTTGAGGTTAAAAACAAAACAAACAAAAAGCCTGATTTTCAATTCTCAGAATGGATGAGAAGAGTGCCCTATGGAGACTGGACTGTTTTTTCTTCTTAAGTGAATAGCTCAAGGGGAACGTCCAGGTGCCGGCCTTCGGGGGTCTCTGCGCCACTGGAGCGGGGGCTGTTGGGCCTGCGGAGATGCGCGAGTTGGAGTCTGAGGGTGGGTGTGGGTTCCCACCACCACGGGCACCACCATTTCTATCACCAGTTGGAGAAGTCCGTTTACCTGTGGAGCAGATTCTCGAGTATTGGAGGAAACACTGTGGAAGCATCGACCGTTGAATGCAGATTCGTGTTCTGTTTATTACTGCTAAGTGAGATGCAATTAGGAATGAGATATCTTCACCCCACTGAGTCTGGGAGGGTCAATGAGCAGTCACATCAGTGAGCAGGCCAGGTGGTGACGCGTGTTACGTGCGTGTTACTCAGGAAAATAAAGCAGGGCAGATGCAGGTAAGGGCCAGTTATTTGACGTTGTGTAGTCGAGGAAATCTCGCTCGCAGGTGTCCTCAGAGAGAAGCAACACACAGATCCCTGGGGACAGAGCATTGCTGCAGAGGGAATTCCTGCAGAGAGCAAGACAGAGCATTCCTACAGGGGGAATGTGCAAAGGCCCCGGGAAGGGAGAGACCCGTTCTGCTGAAGGGAAAGCAAGAAGGCAGAGGGTTGGAGCCAGGAGGCCTGGAGCTGCTGGGTGACGCCTGAGCCCCCGGGCTCCTGTGTGCACGATGGCGCTTTGTGATTTGTGCCAAGGGGGACAGGAGGACAGTCCAGGGTTTTGGCAGAGAAGTGACATGGCTCCTTGTAAATCTTCACAGGACCAGGATAACATCACAACAGGTAGTTAATTCACCACCACACATTTATAGTCTGAGGTCCTTGGACTGTATGAGCTACAACAATGACAGATAATCCAGGTGAGTGCCTCACAAACCCCTGCTGCCCCAGCTCCCACCCGTGGCATTTAGGCCAAGAAGCCCCATTGGTCCCCAGGGACTCTCCAGCCCCTGCCCTCCTTCCTCCTGCCCGGACCAGCCCATCTGTCACAGGGGGCTCTCTAGCCACCTGCCTCTCTTCCTCTCTGAAGGCTGCATGGAGCTGCTTGTCTTTGTAGCTGAACACTCAGGCCCCTGCTTGGTCATCCAGCCAGTCATGGTGGGAGTGGCAAGAGGAGAGCCTGAGATGATGAGGGGTCAGTGATGCTGTCTTCCGGTCCATGGCTCATTAGAGATACCCTGTAATTTGCAGTGTTCTTTCTCCAGGAGGAACAGAGCCCCTCTAATTATATCTGCTCTTATTGAAACCTGAAAAATGCAGGCAGAGTGATAAGAGAATGAAACTGTGGCTGCACCTTCCTGGCCTCCCTTCAAATATGTAAAGGGTCCTAAGGCGAGCCCTGGCTGGGGGGTCTTGAGCCCATGGCTTCTCCCTCGGTGCCTTTCACAGGTGGTCCAGGGCAAACGCTTGGTGCCCATTCAATTAAAATAGCGAAGGAGATGAGCTACAGCTTCTGCAAGGACGGCGTGGGGCTGTAGCCTCTAGGGCCTTAGTTAGAACCACATGAAAACACGAATGCTGGGGAGTAAAATTGCAGGAAATGAATGCAGGAACAGACATGGCTCGGATGTAGCAGAGGTGGGATCGGGAGTGATTTCGTTCCAATTCCCCGATGCTGCTTTCATAGCTGTTGGGGTTGAGTTTGAGGTGTTGTAGTTGAACCTGTGTTGTAAGGGCGGAAAGCCTCATCAGCCCAGTGACTGCACAGCCACGCGGAAGCCTCCCCAGTCAGAGGCGGCCTTGGAGGGCAGCTCGCTGTTCTCACTCAGTCCTGATTCTCGGCTCTCTCCTGACTCCCCAAGGTTTCTTCAACCAATTTGAAAGGGGCAAATAGGAAGCTCTGAAGGACAAGGCCCCACAAAGACCCCACACCCTGCAAATCCCCCAGGGGCTGTGCAGGAAGGGCACAGCGAGGCCCCCAGGAATCAGCCCAGCCTCTGTGCCTTGGGTCCTGGACCTGGGTGGGCGAGAGTCCACGTGCCCGGAGCCAGAACCTGTCCCCAGCCCTTGACAGAGCCACATCTCAGGGGACCATTCCAGGTGGGGTGACAGTTCCCAGCTGCAGCGCCTGGAAGCCCAGGCTGTGGGCAGACGGTCCTTACCTCTGGGGTGGGCATGAGTCGAGAGGCAGGACCTTGTGGGGTGACAGCTCTGGACCCTGAGTTGGAATGTGCACCACTCCCAGCTGAGTACCCACTGGTCACACGTTGGGCCCCCATGGCCTCCCTTCAGCCTCTTCACAGGAAACACGAAGGTGGCGTGGGCCAGGGAGGGGAGTTGACTTGAATAGGGCATTTCAAACTGCCAGTCACAAGCGAGGCCAAGGTTTAACAAATGACTCAGGAAAAAACGGGGTTGGGGGAGGGCATGAGACACTCCCAGGTGGGAGGAGGTACAGGCAGCGCTCCCTGCGTTCACACTCACCGTGGCTTTGTGACAGGGATGCACTCTGAGAAATACATGGCTGGGCGATTTCTCTGTGCGGGCCTCACAGTGACTTACACACGCCTGGATGGCCGGGCCCCCTGTAGGCCTGGGCTGCAAGGTACAGCCAGCGCTCCTCCGCCACAGACCTGTGTGCAGGCTCCTGTACCGAATGCCACAGGCGACTGCCACACAGTGGTGTATGTGCGTCCAAACACAACTAACCCGGGAGAGGACAGTAAGAATCTGGTGCTACAATCCTGTGGGACCACCCTGCTTGACCAAAACATTGTTATATGGTGCGTGGCTGTATTTCCTCCATATCAAAACATTGTTATATGGTGCGTGGCTGTATTTCCTCCATATCAAAACATTGTTATATGGTGCGTGGCTGTATTTCCTCCATATCAAAACATTGTCATGTGGTGCGTGACTGTATTTCCTCCATAGAACAGATGTCAGCGACCCCAGAGCATGGGTTCGTGCAATTTTATAAACTCTATAAGCCCATCGAATTGAATTTTTAGTAATGGCTCTGTTTAACAACCAGCTTGCAAAATTCCTGAACACGTAATGCTTGGTTGTCCTGAGCTGGCACCTTCGGCACATGCGCACATGCTCTCACACGTCCTCACACACACACACTCCCTCACTTACACTCACACACTGTCGTTCACACATACAAGCACACACATACGTGCACACAGCAGCTGCTCACGGCATCTACTTGAGGGGCCCGACACTCATTTAGAAGCTGAGTACACAAGGTTAGTCTAGGAAGCTAGAACAGAATGTAAAACATCAGGATGTGGCCTGTCTAGTCGGGATAAACATTGTTTATACGTTGGGACACATTTGACTCCTTTCACACCTGGTGCTGGTTGGCTTGGAGAGCAGTGGGGCGCCAGCCAGCTGCCCTGACAGCCACGCCTCCTGGAGGGTGGAGAGAGCCTGGTCTGCAGAAAGCCTGCTTGCTTCCTGAGGGGCACAGACACAGGTGGCCTGAGAGGGAGAAGGTTCTGGAACAGGGGGCCCAGAGGAAAGCCTGCAGCAGGAGCCAGGGTCACGGCGCCCAGCAGCTGCCCTCGCCCTGGCTCGTCCTGCTCCAGGCCAAGCCACCCATCTCGGAGCCGCCGTAAGGCCTCCTGCAGTCAAACCGCGAGGCAGCACCATGCCCACAAGAACTTGAGGTTTCTCCTGGCCTCAACCTTCCTCTCATGACAACAAGGCACCAATTTCCACGAAGGGCTCTGCGCTCAGGGCAGGGCTGGTAAACACGAGGTCACGCCCTTCCTGTGAGGGAGGTTCCAGTTCCCACAGCGGAGGCCTCGGGCAGGTGGGGGCTGCCGCAAGAGCAGGACAGGGCCAGGGAGCTGGTGTCCACTCCCACATAGTCCTCTTGCTTTAAACGGTTCTCTTTTGAGATAATTGCAGATTCACACACAGTCGTAAGGAATAACACGGAGAGTGCCTGTTCCCTTTGCCCAGTTCCCCCAACAGCAGCCCCTTTGCCCAGTTCCCCCAACAGCAGCATCTTGCAAAGCAAGGAGTGGTCACCGATGGGATCAAGTGCCCTGAGGGCGGATGGCACCAGCTGCACATACACTGGGTGTGAGCGTGTGTGTCAGTGTGTGTGTGAGCATGGGGGTGTGTGTGTCAGTGTATGTGTATGGGTGAGTCTGTGTGAGTCTGTCAGTGCGTCTGTGTATATGTGGGTGTGCATGTGTGTGTGTCTGTGTGCATGTGGGTGTGTGAGAGTATCAGTGTGTCTATGTGTATGTGTGCATGTGGGTGCGCATGTGTGTGTCAGTGTCTGTATGTGTGCATGTGGGTATGCTTGTGTGTGTGTGCATGTGGGTGTCCGTGTGTGTGTACCAGTGTGTCTGTGTGCATGTGTGCATGTGGGTGTATTTGTGTGAGGAGCATGAATGTGTGTGAAGGAGGAAGTGCATGAATGTGTGTGCATGTCTGTGTGTGTGCTTGTGTGTGTGAGGGACTGGGAGTGTGTGTGTGAGGGACTGTGTGACCATATGTGCATGTGCGAGTGTGTGCATGTGGGTGTGAGGGAGGGGAGGGTGTGTGAGCATGTATGAGCGTGAGTATGCTTGTGTATGTGTGCATGAGTGAGGGAGTGTGTGTGCATGTGTGTGAGTGCATGTGGGTGAGGGTGTGTGAGGAAGTGTGTGAGGATGTGTGTGAGCATGTGCACGTGTGTGCTTGCATGTGTGAGTGAGGGAGGGTGTGTGTGTGCGAATGAAGGAGGGTGTGGGCATGTGAGGACATGTGTGAGCATGTGTGCATGTGTGTCTGTGAGGGAGGGAGGGTGTGTGCATGTGAGTTTGTATGTGTATGTGTGAGGGAGTGTGTGTGCGTGTGTGAGTGCATGTGAGGGAATTTGTGTGTAAGGTTGTGTGTGAGGGAGGGAGTATGTATGTGCGCATGTGTGTGCACGTGTCATTGAGGGAGTGTGTGTGCGCGCGTATGAGTGAGTGTGTGTGTGCATGTGTGCGCTAGCGTGTGTGAGTGAGGGAGGGTGTGTGCATGTGAGGGAGTGTGTGTGTGAATGAGGGAGTGTGTGTGAGCATGTGTGCATGTGTGCTTACATGTGAGGTAGTGTGTGCGTGTGTGTGTGAGGGAGTGTGCACATGTGAGTGTGTCTAGTTTTGGGCAGTTGTGTCCCATGTGTGTGTGTGAGGGAGTGTGTGTGCATGTGTGTGTGAGGGACGAGCTGGGCAGTTGTGTCCCGTGTGTGTGTGTGTGTGAGTGTGTGTGTGAGTGTGTCTAGAGCTGGGCAGTTGTGCCCTGTATGCAGATCTCTGTGCAGATGCCGGACATTTCCATCCCACGAGCATCTCTCCTGCTCCTTTTCCAGCCACAGCCACCTCCTGCCCCTCCCTGACCCCTGACCGCTGACACCCGCTGCTCTGCTTTCCGTTGCTGTGACTTTGTCAGCTTGAGACTGTCTCCCTTCACTCAGCCCAGTTCCCCTGAGGCTCACCTGCAACACTGTGCACCCGCTCGCTTGCTGCTTTTCACGCAGTTCACTCTTTACCTGCTGAAGGACAGCTTGAAGGTTGCCTCCAGTTTTCTGCCATTACAAATAAATCTGCGGTGAACGTTTGTGTTTTTTATGCATCATGTATTTTGAAGGGCATTTTCCTCACTCTCCTAATCCACAGCCTTCCTTGTGGGTGGGAGGAGGCTGAGCCTGGGCAGACTGCGGGGGCTCCCTGGGGACAGCACCCACACTTCGGCTTCTCTTCTGTGGTCCTGGTGTGGTTTATGTACGTACAAGAGTTAGATCTGCAAATCCACCAGGGGCCCGACACAGTGTGCAGTGCTGGGAGGATGGCAGAGAGGAAAAATGCCTGCCAGTGCTCTCGGGAAAAATAACCACGAGAAAAGCTACCTCTAGCCGACTGTTTCTTATCTGCCAGACACAGGACACACAGCACACGCAGCTTGGTCCCGGCACAGGCCTGCGGGCGGGCACTGCTGCCAGCCCCATTTTACAGACGAAGAAATTGGGAGACAATCTGGGGAGATGAGTTAGCTTCACAGGAAACTATTTGAAGAAATAAAAGTAATTGACGCGGTGGTTCACAACTCCTAAGTATAATGAAAGCAGCCGCGATCGTTGTCACAGTCAAGGTGCCAGGGATTTGTGGGCTGAGGGGCATTCATCAGCACCCACGGCTTCTGCGGGCCTGGGGGCGGGGGCGTGAGCGTCTCCCTCTGCTCTCCTGCCCTGCCCTGCACAACCTGGTGAATTTCCTGTCCCACCCGCTGCCCCACCCCTCCCTGAAGCAGGGAGGTTGGCAACTGAGCTTGTGAGGCTCAAGGGTACCTAGGATGGGCCACTCGGAGGGGAGGCAGCTCTCCTCGGCCATCACAGCCAGAAAGTGGGCTTTGAGTGTTCCGTGCGGTGCTGCCACCGTGTCTACACCCACCTCCACCGTGTCTACACCCACCACCGTGTCTACACCCACCTCCACCGTGTCTACACTCACCGCCACCGTGTCTACACCCACCGCCACCGTGTCTACACCCACCACCGTGTCTACACCCACCTCCACCGTGTCTACACCCACCACCCTGTCTACACCCACCTCCACCATGTCTACACCCACCGCCGTGTCTACACCCACCGCCACTGTGTCTACACCCACCACCGTGTCTACACCCACCTCCACCGTGTCTACACCCACCATCGTGTCTACACCCACCACCGTGTCTACACCCACCGCCACCGTGTCTACACCCACCACCGTGTCTACACCCACCTCCACCGTGTCTACACCCACCTCCACCGTGTCTACACCCACCACCCTGTCTACACCCACCTCCACCATGTCTACACCCACCGCCGTGTCTACACCCACCACCGTGTCTACACCCACCTCTGCCGTGTCTACACTCACCTCCGCCGTGTCTACACCCACCACCATGTCTAAAACCACCTCCACTGTGTCTACACCCACCGCCACCGTGTCTACACCCACCACCACCGTGTCTACACCCACCACCATGTCTACACCCACCTCCACCGTGTCTACACCCACCGCCGTGTCTACACCCACCTCCACCGTGTCTACACCCACCTCCGCCATGTCTACACCCACCACCACCGTGTCTACACCCAACTCCACCTTGTCTACACCCACCACCCTGTCTACATCCACCTCCACCGTGTCTACACCCACCACCACCGTGTCTACACCCACCACCGTGTCTACACCCACCACCACCGTGTCTACACCCACCACCACCGTGTCTACACCCAACTCCACCTTGTCTACACCCACCACCCTGTCTACATCCACCTCCACCGTGTCTACACCCACCACCACCGTGTCTACACCCACCACCGTGTCTACACCCACCGCCACCGTGTCTACACCCACCGCCACCGTGTCTACACCCACCACCGTGTCTACACCCACCTCCACCGTGTCTAAACCCACCTCCATGTCTACACCCACCTCCACCGTGTCTACACCCACCGCCGTGTCTAAACCCACCTCCACCGTGTCTACACCCACCACCACTGTGTCTACACCCACCACCGTGTCTACACCCACCTCCGCCGTGTCTACACCCACCACCGCTGTGTCTACACCCACCACCGTGTCTACACCCACCTCCGCCGTGTCTACACCCACCTCCGCCGTGTCTACACCCACCACCACCGTGTCTACACCCACCACCGCCGTGTCTACACCCACCACCGTGTCTAAACCCACCACCGTGTCTACACCCACCTCCACCGCGTCTACACCCACCGCCACCGTGTCTACACCCACCGCCGTGTCTACACCCACCTCCACCGTGTCTACACCCACCACCACTGTGTCTACACCCACCACCGTGTCTAAACCCACCACCGTGTCTACACCCACCTCCACCGCGTCTACACCCACCGCCACCGTGTCTACACCCACCACCGTGTCTACACCCACCTCCACCGTGTCTACACCCACCACCGTGTCTACACCCACCACCGTGTCTAAACCCACCTCCACCGTGTCTACACCCACCGCCACCGTGTCTACACCCACCACCGTGTCTACACCCACCTCCACCGTGTCTACACCCACCACCGTGTCTACACCCACCACCGTGTCTAAACCCACCTCCACCGTGTCTACACCCACCACCACCGTGTCTACACCCACCACCGTGTCTACACCCACCTCCACCGTGTCTACACCCACCGCCGTGTCTACACCCACCACCGTGTCTACACCCACCTCCACCGTGTCTACACCCACCTCCACCATGTCTACACCCACCACCGTGTCTACACCCACTTCCACCGTGTCTACACCCACCTCCACCGTGTCTACACCCACCGCCACCGTGTCTACACCCACTGCTGTCTGCTTCATGACTCGGGGGTCTAGGCTGCTTCTTTCCTCTCTCTCTGCATTTCAAGAAGATGAGAGCGAGACCATGATGCTCCGTGGTAAGGCCCACCTGAGCCTCCGACTGTAGTTGATAAACCCAGCACAGCATTGCGTCTCCTGTCCATCAACAACACAGACCACCAGGCCTCGGCATCCACAGGAATCTTGGAGTGGACCTGTCTGCTTCTCTCAGTTGTGTGGCTCAACTAATGTTTGAGAAAGACTCTTCGGTGGCTATTTATTCATCTCTCTAGATTCTCCAAATGTGTTCTTTCGCAGCTCATCAGGTCACTAGAAAGCTACTTTCTTTGACTTCTAAGTGCCTACATAAATTTTATGCGAGAATTATGATTTAATGTTATATTTTTACTACATTCATTCAACAAACATTCATTGAGCATTTACCATGTTCTAGGCCCTGTAGTGAGTGTCATTTGAGATTAAAAACATCCTCCCCTAACTTGTCCAATATTCCTTTTGAAAAGAATTCCCTAAAAAATTTCTTGTATTGCCTTGTGGGCTAAAGTACTGTCTTTCCTGAAAGTCTGACATGCTTCCTTTTATCAGATAATGTGACTTGTGTAAGATTCATATTTCCATATTTCCCTTTTCACCTTGGCTATCCGGAAGCTCAGTGTGTAGCTTTACGTTCAGCTGTTCTCACCTTACATGTGTCAACAAATCCACTAAAAAAATTTCTTTTAAAAGGAAAGAGACAGGCCGGGCGCGGTGGCTCACGCCTGTAACCCCAGTACTTTGGGAGGCTGAGGCGGGCGGATCACCTGAAGTCAGGAGTTCGAGACCATCCTCAACATGGAGAAACCCTGTCTCTACTAAAAATACAAAATTAGCCAGGCATAGTGGTGCATGCCTGTAATCCCAGCTACTCGGGAGGCTGAGGCAGGAGAATTGCTTGAACCTGGGATGCGGAGGTTGTGGTGAGCGCCGAGATTGCGCCATTGCACTCCAGCCTGGGCAACAAGAGCGAAACTCCATCTCAAAAAAAAAAAAAAAAAGGGGAAAGAGACATTATTCCAGCAAGCAGTTTGCAAACTGGGAGATGCTGCCTTTGGAACAAAACAAAGGTGCATTCCAGAGAAGAAACATGCGATTGTCTTCCACAAGGGAATTCCTGCCCAGGATCTCATTCTGGCCTTTATGCAGATAAGGGAGGCAGACTTGCTTCATTCTGTTTGGTAGAGCCTGGTAGCAGTCTATTGGTTTGGTCCAGAGGGCAAATTGGGATTTTCTGGCCTTGGTTGATTCCAGCAGCATGAACAGACAGCTGTGAAATTTCCAGCACTTCCGGGAACGCAGAGCTGGCGTGTGACCTCTAGTGAGCAAAAGGTCGCGTGCCTCCATTTTGAATTCAGGCCCAGTGAGCCCCTTGGGATGCACCTGGCAGGATGGGCTCTTTCAGGTTCAGATACCTGATTCCACCGTTCTTCCTTCAGTTCTTACTTTGAACCCTCCAAAAATTATTCCGTTGTGTACTGGTCATTTATGTGGCTTCAAATCCTTTGAAAGTAGATTGTTCAGACATGATCTAATAATGCTGTTTTGGAAATGAATGAATGTCCACTTGTCAATGGGTTGATATGTGAACAGAAGAGTATATCCAAAGAGAGCAAAGTGTAACACCAAGGTCATTGAAAGAAGAAATTATAGAGATTTTCTATTGGGTCATCATCTGATCCTTTCTTCTCTCAGTATTTTATTTCCCAGCTCATATTATCACAGCTCTAAGAGACAACTTTCTAATTTAGAAAACGAATGACCAAATCCTTCATTTAGAACACAAATGTGAGAAGGCCGGTGCTTGGGCAGCTCTGCGGGGCTGTGTTTTGTTGCGGGAGCCCTGGATGTATGCTCAGCCCCTGTGCCTCTCAGAGGGCTGGGGGCCCCACATACAGATACCTTGCTCCGATGTGCCTGGATAAGCACTGAGGGTGGGTTTTAGGGACCGACTGGGGAGAGATGCACGTGGGGTCTGAGTCGACCGTCTGTGGGGCACTCTGGTCATGCCCAGCATCCATTTGTGCAGCACAAACTTTTTCTCTGGGACTGTCCGCCCCCCAGGTTCTTGTGGTATCGTAAAGACGACCACAGTTTCGAGATGTAGGAGTGAAATGGACCGAGGCTAACCCAGTGAAGTTTGCGGCTGGGTTAAGGAGTGAGTCAGGGAGATGCGTGTTTTCTCCATCATGACTGGGAGAGGAGTGCTCATTTGCCGGGAGGTGAGGGTGACTGTGCACCTCAGCCGCCAGCAGGAGCACCAGAGAAGCCCTGCTCCAGCCCTGCTGACGTCTGGGCCTGGGCCACCAGCCGGTGCAGTGAGCCTGGACCCCAGGAGTGCCTTTTCCAATCCTGACAGACAGCTGCTTAATGTGGGACATTGCTTTACTTTACGAGTTGAAAACGCCACCCTAGCAGCACGGAGCACCTCCCAGGGGCTAAACCCTGTATCATGACTGAATGCGCCCATGTCAATGAATTCTAACATCTAACTCTACATTCTGCCTCCCCTGAATCCAACGTTCTTTGGATCTAGTTCTGCATTTACCCCTGGCTCATGCTGGTGCATGCATTTTGGTCCTGAAGCTCCTTGGCCGACTGTCTCTTCCTCAGTTTTTAGCCTCAGCACTTCTCCAGCTTGATGATGCTGACCTGGAGGAGCTGAGCTGGAGGTGGGTGGCAGGCGTGTCGCCTTGCAGAGGTCTCTGCAGTGTCTTCAAGCACAGAAACAGCATTTGTCCTTAACAGACAGAAATGTGACACCTCTTCAGGCCCAGCAGATTTAGAGGAATCTGGGATTCAAGATTTTTGAGTGCATTCATTCAGATGGCCCCATCGCAAGCCTCTCTTCTTCCCAGTCAGGGCCTCTCTTCTTCCCAGTCAGGGTCCAGAGCTTGGAACAGCACCTTCCGAGGCCGAGCACCCGAACCTGGAACAACACCTTCTGAGGCCAAGCACCTGGCCTTCTCTGGAGCTCTGCCTTCTACACGGTTAAGTCCTGGCCCTGATCCAGTGTTTTGGTTTTCCTCTGGTCACAGGAGATGAGTGTCTTATGTGGCACTGAGGAGGCCCGTTAGCGTGCCACCCTTTTGTTTCAGGTGGTGATCTTTTCATTATCTTGCCCTCAACACGAGCCACCTGATTCCATAGTCCATGTATCTGTGACTTTCCCGAACTCTCCAGCACCCGAGATCCTGCCGCTGCCAGTGCATTTCCTTCCAAGGGGCTCCCGTCCTGGCTGCCACTGCTGCAGTCTGGAGATTCACTCCTGACCCCAGCTGTCGCCTGGAAACAAACACCAAAGCGAGATCCGCGTTGAGTTTATCAGCAGGCCTGTGAGGGTGGAGGGATGGCAGAGAAGCAGCTTTGTGGCTGGGCTGCCACAGAGGACTCCACTGGTCCTCGGAGAAACACAGGAGCCGGCTTGCTTCCAGTGGCTCCAAACGGAAGCATAGTCTCCGTCGTAAAGCAGGGGTGTGGATGGCGTCCACAGCACCCACTGCAGACGCCACCCAGGGCCAGCGCTAGACGCAGAGGCTCTGGGTTGGAACCAGGGGTGCCGCCTTAACCTCCTGTTCTGCCCCAGTGAGCACCAGGCTTGCAAGGGCTGAGGATGAGAGAGGCCCCTGTGGCTGCAGGCTCCCAGCAGTCAGGGGAAGAAAGGCCATTCATTCTTTCAACGCATGGAACTGCTTTTTAGGAAGTGAAGGTAAGCAGTGGAAAAAAATAGGCCTCTATCTTCATGAAGCTCCTGTTCCTCTCCATGCAGTGTGTGTGTGTTTGTGTATGTTCACGTAGGTGTGTGTATGTATGTTTAGTGTGTATGTCTGTGCATGTGTATGGGTAGTATATGTGTGTGCTGTCTGTGTTGTGTGTATATGAACATATGTGTTCATGTGTATATGTGGTGTGTGTATGTAGGGTGTGTGTATATGTGTGTATATGTATGTGTGTACACGTGTGTAGTATGTGTGTGGTGTCTGTGTGTGGTGTCTATGTGTATGTATATGTATATGTAGTGTATGTGTGGTATATGTATGTGTGTATATATGTGTAGGGTGTGTGTGTGGCACTGGGTGCAATGAAGTTTTGCAACATAGAGGAGGGAGTGTAGTCTCAGTTCATATACACACCTACAGTTCATACACACACACAAACATACTCCTCAGAGAGGAGGTCAGGGAGGAGGAGACCTCGAGACAGAAGAAAGGGAGGTAAGGGTGGTACCTGCCCATGCTGGGGTCTGCAGGGGGACTGGGGGGGGACCTGCCCATGCCGGGGTCTGCAGGGGGACTTGGGGGGGGACCTGCCCATGCTGGGGTCTGCAAGGGGACTTGGGGGGGGACCTGCCCATGCCGGGGTCTGCAGGGGGACTTGGGGGGGGGACCTGCTCATGCCGGGGTCTGCAGGGGGACTGGGGGGGGACCTGCTCATGCCGGGGTCTGCAGGGGGACTGGGGGGGGACCTGCCCATGCCGGGGTCTGCAGGGGAACTGGGGGGGGACCTGCCCATGCCGGGGTCTGCAGGGGGACTTGGGGGGGGGACCTGCCCATGCCGGGGTCTGCAGGGGGACTGGGGGGGGACCTGCCCATGCCGGGGTCTGCAGGGGACTGGGGGGGGACCTGCCCATGCTGGGGTCTGCAGGGGGACTTGGGGGGGGGACCTGCTCATGCTGGGGTCTGCAGGGGGACTGGGGGGGGACCTGCTCATGCTGGGGTCTGCAGGGGGACTGGGTGGGGGAGACCTGCCGGTGCCGGGGTCTGCAGGGGGACTGGGGGGGGACCTGCCCGTGCCGGGGTCTGCAGGGGGACTGGGGGGGGACCTGCCCATGCCGGGGTCTGCAGGGGGACTGGGGGGGACCTGCCCATGCCGGGGTCTGCAGGGGGACTGGGGGGGGAGACCTGCCCATGCCGGGGTCTGCAGGGGGACTGGGGGGGGGAGACCTGCCCATGCCGGGGTCTGCAGGGGGACTGGGGGGGGGGAGACCTGCCCATGCTGGGGTCTGCAGGGGGACTTGGGGGGGGGACCTGCCCATGCCGGAGGTCTGGGGTGGGGGGCTGTGTGTGCGTGTATGTGTCCCCGCCCCCCTCGTGCGTCTGCAGCAGGTGCCTTCGGATCGCATCTCAGGAGCTGGGGCTGGGCGCGGGATTCCTCCCCTGCCAGATCGTTGTACGTGAACTTCTCTTGGCAAAGTTCGTCCGCGAGTCAATCGCTCAGCCTCGCTCAGCGGGCCCGGGCCGCGCCGGCGACCTTCCTTCGTCTCTTCCGCCAGGCAGCCCGCTGGGGTCCCTTCCGCTCAGCGGCCAATCCGCGGGGCGGGGGCGGGGGCCGAGGCCTCGGGGGAAGCCGATCCCTGCGCCCCCCGGGTCTCCGCCACCCGCCAGCGCCGTCCCTGCCAACCCCGCCCCTGCAGGGCCCGGGCCAGTTGGGAGCAGGGGCCGGGCCGCGGGCGGAGCCTCCCGGTCCCCGCCCTCGCCCTCGGCCAACTGGCGGTCTTGCAGGCGGGCGGACCCTCGGCCGCGCTCGGGGCTCCGGCGCCGCCGCTCCTCCTGCTCGGCCTGAGCTGCCCGGGCTCGGCGCGCGCTTGGGGCGAGGCTCGGCGGGCGCGGACGCGCAGCATGGCGGTGGAGGACGAGGGGCTCCGGGTCTTCCAGAGCGTGAAGATCAAGATCGGTGAGTGTCCGCCGGCAGCCACGCGTCCGACCCCCCGGCCCGACCCTGTCCTCTCCCGCGCCCGCCTCCCCTCCGCAGATCCTTGCTGGGGACCCCGGCGGAGACGCCCTCCAGGCGCGGCGCGCTCCCCGGAGAACGGCTGGTCCGGCTCCGCGGCCCCTCCCCACCTCCCCGCCTCCCCGGGCCTCGGGCTGGGTCGAGTCGGCTCCGGGGTAACGCGGCTCCCTGCGCCTCCTCTGCGCCCGGAGCGGCCCCGGTCCCTGGTAGCGGCGGAGGAGGTGGGGTCCCTGCGCCGAGGGACGTCTGTCCGCGTGTGCGCCCGAGCGTGTGCCCCGCGTGTTTGCAGGAGTGCGCGCGCCTGAGGCTGTCTGGGCGCCTGCACTTCAGGTGTCAAATCCACTGACGTCGGGGTCTCGGCATCTCCCTTTCTCCGCTGCGCCCAGAAACTTCCTTTCCGGGGAATGTGGAGGCTCCTTCACGCTTCTCCCCAGGGGCGTGAGGCCCCGGCGCGCTGCTGCTGCTGTGCGCGCGCGTCTGTGCCTGCGTGCGCGCGTGTTTGTGTGTGCTTGTGTTTGTGTGTCCATGTGTGGGCGGTGTGTGTGCGCGTGCGTTTGTGGGTGCATGTGTGGGTGCGTATTTGTGTGTGGATGCATGTGTGCGCGCGTGTGTATTTGTGTGTGGGCGCGTGTGTGTGCGCGCGTTTGTGTGTGTGCATGTGTGCGTGTGTGCTGGTGGGGCGTTCTGGCTGAGGGCTCCCGCGGGGCGGGGAGACCCCGGACCCATCGGCACCACGTCCCTTTCCACTGAGAAGTGGCGGGCGAGCTGGTGGCGACCAGGGCCTGCGAGGCTGCGGTTTTTCTCTGGGCTTCAGCAGCTTCTGAAGTGGGCTCCCGGAGGCGTTTCCGGAGAGGAGGCTGTGTCTGGACTTCTGGTTTATCTGGAGGGATCTGCTTTTCCCTGGTTGTTTTATCTTGGGAGAGTGATGTGGAAGTCCTCCCCCTCCCCCAGAGCAAGACCGTTTCCTGGAGTGACTGTTCCATATTCATGCCATGAGTGTGCTGGACCACAGCGCGGTTCAGGCTGGAGAGGCTTCCAGGGCCTGCAGTGTCGCGGTCCCCACGGTCCTTCTCCCCCACTGAGCCGCACTTCGCAGCCGGCCTCTTCCCGTGTGAAGAGGCCTCCGGGAACGGGCTGAGTGTCAGTTGTTGATGACATTTGATGCTGCCGGAGGCATTCCAGCTCCCCTAAACCAGCGGGCTGTTTCCTGTCGGCTTTATTTTGGTTTGCGGATCATCGCTGAGACACTGTCTTGATATTTGGCCCAGAAGCGCTGCAGCTAGGATGTGGCAGCACTTCCGCTTTGAGTAGTCCAGAGAGGAGGGATTTCTTTTGTTAATGTGGTTTAAATCCGCTGTCACTTTCATACAAGAAAGCCAGAGCTGGCGCTCCCTGAAGTGCCTGAGGTCGCCTTGCCTGGGTGGGGAAAGGTCGCGGCCCGTGGGGGTCAGTTTGCTGCTCTTTCCTTCAGCCAAGGCTGCTTGGCTCAGCCAGCGAGTCTGAGGAGTGTGAGAAGCACTGGGCTTCCTCAGTCACGGGGGCAGGAGGGCTGGAGGTGGGTGCCCCTGTGGGGCAGTGCCAGGTCTCCAGGCAGCAGGCAGAGGCGGCCTGGGGCTTTGCGGCTCGGGGGTGGGGGGCCCACAGCCGGCACAGCATGCTCGCTGTGTACTCCAGGAAGGGCTACACTTCAGGCCACGGCAGGACTTTACAGAAGGCATGGGAAGTAGAACAGGAGGGCGAGGGAAGACCAGAGTCTCAGACCAGATACTCAGACCCTGAGTCTCCCAGAAGGCAGCTTCACCGGCCTGCGGGCACTCGGCCCCACTTCCGACAGGCGTGGGGGTCAGGCACCCTGGAGGATCCCTCGGAGAGAAGGAGGTTTGGAGATGCCACAACTTGGTCAGGCTCTGTGCTCCACTTTAAACAAGCCAGTGAAACCCTGGCTCAGCTGAGGCTTAGGCTGCTAATCCCACGTGGGGCCTGGATATCATCTGAACCTTTGACCCTCCCAGGGGCAGCAGCAGTGAGGACGGGTAGAGAGGCCCAAATGCCAGCTGCCCGACTCTCTGGATGTGGCTCCAGCAAGAAGTCCCCGTTTCCTCTCCCCTCCAGAGGTCACCTGCAGGGCTGGCTGCCTGAGGGGTATCTGTGCCCCAAGTAGCTGGGGAGACAGGGCACCTCCTGCATTTGAGCAGAGATGCAGTCTGGGCTGGAGACCCTGAGGGTGACCTGTGGGTGCGCTGGTTTGGGGTTAGTCTCATGTAACTGTGCTGCTGGCCTGATACCCCGGGGCTCCAGCAGAAAGCCCATCTGTAGAAGCGAAGTGGAGGATGACCCTGAGCGGCGCTGGTGCCAGGGGGCCACTGAGCCCCTCAGGCTCTTTCTTTAATCCACATTCATGGCCAACCTTGGCTCTGACTTGCCCTGCCTGAGTCCCTGGTCTTGAAGGCTCAGACAAGATGGTGCCCCTGTGGTTGATTTGAGGGCCCCTCGCTGTCATTCACCTCTGAGCCTTGTCTCCAGGAGCGCTGGATTTGCCCATGAGTCTGCCAGTGACTTGCTGCATGACCCAGGGCCCGTGTCTTCCCCTTCATAACCTCATTTTTCCGTTTGCAAAAGCCAGGCAATTATTGTCTACTACATCCGGTGGGAACGTACAAGGCAGTGTTGTTCAGGGTTAAGTTAACACCCTGCCCCCTCACTCCCAGAACAAGAATTGTCCCTAAAGTTATACCATAAGCAATTCTGCTACTACTCTTACTAAGAAAAAAAGCCAGCACATTTCTGGGGGGATTGGGAGCTTTTTTTAAGGTATAGGGGCATTGGCCATTTAAATTCTTAAATAGCTTTGAAATGTGTGGTGGTGTGTGGCCTCATTCAGACGTTGACATTGGGAAAAATGGAAAGAATCTCTTCCTCCTTTCCCCCTTCCTCTTTCTTTGTCCTTCCAGCTCTTGCAGGTGAGGTAATAAGAGGAGAGCGCCACGTAGAAGTGAGGTGCTTTGGTGGTAACAATTTGGAGTCTTTGTCTTGAAGAATCTGGCTTTCTGCATTTCAGTTTTGTGGAATCATTTTGGATATGTCCTTCTGTGCACTTAAACATCTTAAACACTGTGTCTTTTGAAACAGTCATTAACCTTTCACAGTAGAGTCTGTGTATCATGCATGACTGAGCCACACTTCCTATGCGATCGCTGCTTTGAGGAAGCCTGTGCTTCGGACTTTCCATGAGTCAGGGACCCACAGGGAGGGCACTTCCGCCACGGCCACGGCGTTGTTTTGGGGCCCCCGCCCCCAAGGCGTGCAGTGCCTCCTCCCCTCGCAGTGATGTCTTCCGTTTCCACAATACTTACTGCTTGTTTTTAAATGTGGCGCCTTATCTTGATACATGTGTTCAATAAAGAGCAACACACAAGGTGTTTCTCTCAATCTGTTACAGAAAAAAAAAAAGCCAGCCCCGCGGTCCAGGGCGGGAAAGGCTCTCGCACCGCGGTGACCCTGCCGTCGAGCTGGAGGCGGTCAGCGTCCGGGAATGCCGTCCGTGGGAGGCCGGGCCTGCCGTGGGCTCCCCGCTGGGGCTTCCTGTGGCTCTCTGGTCGCTCCCTTCTTTCTCCTCTGGGCTCAGTGCCTGTGGCTCCGCTGGGCTCTTGCTCCCTTCCTGTGAGGCTGGAGCTTGTCCGTGAAGAAGACCCACGGCCGGTCTGGCCCAACATTGAACCGCTGGTGCCTGCAGGCCTGTGGGGCAGTGAGGGCCAGGGGCTGCCGGCCTCCAGCCCCAGCTATCCCTCTCCTGATCACAAACAGAATCCCACCTGAAGCAGGAGGAGGTGGCACCGGGTGAGAATAGGGAGAATGACAAGTGGGGTGCCTGGAGGGTCCCCTGGACTGTGCCTCCCTGGCCCCAGCTCCTGGGCTAGAAGGTAAGGGCTCCGGGCCCAGCTCTGCTAGAAGTGGCAGCTGACACTCTCAGCCTGATGGACTCCCTCACGGGAGGTGGAGGCCGCTGGTCACAGGGCTGTTACAGGCATCAAATTAGGTGATGGTCTGTTTAATAAGAGAAAGTAGCAACAGTGTCTTCAGAGGGCTAGGGCTCACTCAGGTAAGAGAAGTGTTTTGTGAAGGTGAGGGAGGGATACTGGCCACGCCGTGGCTTTCCCCGTGTCTGTCTGACAGTGTAAGGAGGGGCTGTGTGGCCACACATGGGCCTTGGCATCAGAGATCCTAGATTCCCCTAATGCTAAAATTAACTTGGATATTTTATTAACCGAGCTCAGCTAAGCTGCCTGTGCTATTTTTAACCCCTGAGGACGAAGGTGCAGGGCCTGGCTGCACCTGGGAAACAGCAGGGGCTCCGGCAGGGGCAGGTTCAGCCTGGGGCCCGGGCCTTGCCTGGAAAGGGGAGTGGGTTTCTTGTGCGTGTGTGGGTGTGGAGGCTGGATGCAGATGCTAAGGGCGTCGTTTCCATGTATTATCTCATTTTATCTAAACTCTGGAAACTCCACGGCACTGAGGTGGAGAAAGGGAGACCCACGGATTTATCTGGGCCCAAGCACCCCAGCTCCACGGGCTCCTGGGATCCGAGTTCTTCTCCTCACCACTTAGTATTGTCCATTAATTTTTTTTTCTTTGAGACTGGGCCTCACTGTGTTGCCCAGGCTGGTCTCCAACTCTCCAACTCCAGGACTCAAGGGATCTTCCTGCTTCAACTTCCTGAGTAGCTGGGACACAGGTGCTCACCACTGCAGCCTGCCTGTCAGTTTGGAGAGCTGTTTCTTCTCTGTGATCTTGGATTGGAATGGGGGGAATCATGGAGGGCTGGAGAACAGAGAGACTTGTTGGTGACCTTAGGGACACGAGGCAGGCAGTGTTCAGGCAGGGAAGGAAGGAAGGGGCTGCTGGTCTGTGTGGGTGGACAGTGGCCTGGGAGGCCCAAGACACAGGGTGTGCTGGGAAGACAGTTTGGAGATGCAGAGGTGATCCTTTAAGCAGGGCCACAGCCACCCATCCAGCCTTCAGGTGTGTGAGCAAATGGTGCCTGGCAGGTGGACTCAGCCAGGGTGCTGGACTGGTGGGCAGAGTGTGGACCCCGGAGGCAGCCCTGGGGGCGTCATTCCTGGAAGGGAATCTGGCATTGGTGGAAAACACTTTGACTTGCTTCTTTGGAGCTAATGGAAGCAAATGAGGCATTTGGAGCTAAGGAGCGTGTGAACCGCGCAGGCGCAGAGTGGATGAGCGGCGTCTCCCTGAGGCTGTGGCACCGTGTTTGCAGGTGGCGCGTCATGTTTTAAACATAGACGTGTGTGTGTTTAGAAAGGAGGTGGACGTATTGGCTGGAAACAGCCACAAGCAAAGTGATGGCTGCTAAGGTTTTGAAAGTGAAGGCTGCTGAGCGATGGTGGGAGGGGCTTGGTGAGGAGGAGAGCTCCTGGGGGCCCTCGGGGGAGACGTGGACGTAGCGAACCCACTTGGAATCAGACACCCGAGACTGCGTGCTGGCCACGTTTCTTGACAATTCTTTGATTTTAGATGACCCCTAACCTCTCTCTGCCTTGGTTTCTTGGTTTGTGAAAGTGGAGGCCAAGGCCTTCTTTTGCAGAGATTAATGGGACTTAGATGCACCAGGCACTTCCCCCGCTCAGATCTTCATAGATGGGAGGTATTATTCTAGCAGAATTTGAAGCTATCTGTTCGTCTGTAATGAACTGGACTTCTATGTAAGCAAATATATAATTTGAAAAAGAGCTACACTTTAATAAGTAGGAGGGTGTTGAGATCCGGGAGAGCTCACACTCTGGAGAGGTGGCTTTTGTTTTTGGTTTTGGCTGTCATCTGGGTGTCTGGGAGGGATGGCTTTCAACTTGCTCCTGAAGAGAGAGGTGGCTTTGGTTTTGGCTGTCATCTTGGAGGGGGTCTGGGAGGGGTAGCTTTGAACTTGCCCCTGAAGAGAGAGTGAGGTCTCAGGAAGGGAAGGAATCATTTGGGTTGGGCTGGTGTTATGAGATGCACGGCCTGGCCTTTGAGGGGCCCAGATAAGTTAGCTGGAGGGGCCAGTGGGACGTGTGGATGGGCCTCTGGCCGATGGGTTGACAGAAGGGGCCACACGGGGTCCCGTGGGGATGTGGTGTCATGCCCCGCAGGTGCCGGTACCTCTGGAGGGTGCGAGGTTGGACAGCAGGTGCCGGTACCTCTGGAGGGTGCGAGGTTGGACAGCAGGTGCCGGTACCTCTGGAGGGTGCGAGGTTGGACAGCAGGTGCCGGTACCTCTGGAGGGTGCGAGGTTGGACAGCAGGTGCCGGTACCTCTGGAGGGTGCGAGGTTGGGCAGCAGGTGCCGGTACCTCTGGAGGGTGCGAGGTTGGGCAGCAGGTGCCGGTACCTCTGGAGGGTGCGAGGTTGGGCAGCAGGTGCCGGTACCTCTGGAGGGTGCGAGGTTGGGCAGCAGGTGCCGGTACCTCTGGAGGGTGCGAGGTTGGGCAGCAGGTGCCGGTACCTCTGGAGGGTGCGAGGTTGGACAGCCGTTGTGGAACTGTGGTGGGGGTCGGGGAGGCAGCTCACTGAGCGCGTCTCGTCTTACGCAGCCGCGGGTCAGAGCAGGGGTCTGTGTTCACGCAGGAAAGGAGGGGCTTGCCGTGCAACCAGAGCTTCTAGCTTTGAACCATAGGTGAAGGCGATGAACAGACGTGTCTACTGCAGCAGCACCTGTGGCCAGTGGCTGAGTGAGCAAATAGCAAACAGTAGAAGCAATGTTGAGGAGTTGGGGTCTCCCCACCAATCTCCTGTCGAACTGTCACCCCGTCGTTGGAAGTGGGGCCTGGTGGGAAGCGACTGGATCTTGAGGGTGGATTTATATGAACAGCTCAGCGCTATCCCCTTGGTGCTGTTCTCACGATAGTGAGTGAGTTCTCGTGAGATCCGGTGGCACACCTCCCACCTCGCGCTCTTGCCCCCGCTCTCGCCGTGTGAGACACCTGCTCCCCCTTCACCTTCTGCCATGACTGGAAGCTTCCCGAGGCCTCCCCAGAAGCAGATGCCTCCATACTTCCTGTACGGCTTGCAGCACCGTGACCAATAAACCTCGTTTATTTTGAATTACCCAGTCTCAGGTGTTTCTTTATAGCAATGCAAGAACAGCCCAATGAGTAATCGCCAACTGAAACGGTGATTATGTCATGTGCATCCACATGTGGGCTGCTCTGTGGCTTTCAAGGAACATATTAAGCCCAGGCCAAACCACATGACTCGCAGGAAGTTCCACGGCATAAGATTCAAAAGAAGCAAAATGAGAGCGCCCAACACCACCCCCTAGAAGAATGATAAACACAGATCAGATGAGTGTGCGCAGATCAGGGATAAGACCCACACAGCCTGCTAATTGGATTACCTGTGGGATGGCAGGAGTGCTGTGGTAGGAAGAGAGACAGGAATACAAGGCCTTCCGTAGCAGCAAGTATATGTCTATTATGCATCAATGTGCAACTATGTATACGGTGGGTGAGTGAGTGAAGAACAAAGGCGGAGCTTAGAAATCATCCCTTCACAGATTGCAAGAACAGTGTCGGCTGTGGAGGACGCCAAGGCCGAGAAAGAAAATAACTTGCCTTCATTCAAGACAATGTGCTGTGTGGGAAATGCATGTGGACAGGTGAAGGAGCGGCTCCGTCAGGCCGCAGCGGGCGTCCAGCAGTGACAGGCGGAGTGAGTTGTGGCTGGCCCCTGAGAGGCCCCTGACAGGTTTTGGGGCTCCAGCCTTTGTGTCTGGGAGGCTCTGGCACAGGTGAAGGGGAACTGAGGGTTACGTCACCTGTGACAGATGGTTCAGGGTCTCTCTGGGTGTGACGCAGAGTCCAAAGTGAACAGTTACAAACGTTCAAGCTTTGCTGTAGATATGAGTTTCAGAGTCACCGAGGTGCCCGGGAACGCCCTCGTCGGGCCTGGATCCCCGGAAGTGAGTTTCCCCATGGGTTATTGGTCAAACGGCATCAGAGTGTCTGGGAGATTTTGTTTTTCTGTGAGTATTTTCTCAAAAATAGTAGTTCCTTGTTCTATGAGTGTCTGAAAATATTAGGTGTGTTTCTGCAGACAGGGCTGGATTCCTGGGGCTGTAGCTCTAGCCACCCTGAAATTTGGCATTCTTAGTTTTCGTTTTCAAATAAGCTTGAATCCCACATTTGGAACAATCACCCAAATTTAAGTCTCAGTTTTGTTCCTTCTGGGGACAGTCAGTGCCCTGCTGGTATCACAACACAGCCAGTAACGGCTGCAGCGCTGACCTGCGTGTCCTGGGTCCCGAGAGACACCGTGCCGGGCTTCTGGGGGCTGGGCCGGGGGGCTGGGTCAGGAGACAGGAGCCGCACTGGGGACCGAAACCGGTGCCTTGACCTGGAATTGATCGAGGAACGACTCCTGCACCTGTTCTTTCCTCTTTACATTGTTTCTTTTATGTTATCCGAATAATTTCCAACCTGTAAAGAATCATCTGTCTTGGCCCTGACTGCCCATAGGATAAAATTCCAGAGGTTGGTAAGAGGTCTGAGTCTTTCCTAGACACCGTGGGGATCCTTTTTCTGACCACCGACCAGACAGATGTCCACTTAGGACCTGCATGGGGGCCGTGGCTCCCAGCCCCGCATGGCCCACCCCGTGGGTGCCTCCCTCGCCCCAGGATGGGCCAGAGTCCTCAGCCCCTTGCTGAGAGCCACCCTCCCTGCCTGGTGCGCATGGCGTGCCCAGGGTAGGACGGAGGATTCTCTGGGATGCCTGACAAAGCCTAAGGGTGATTGTTGTTGTGTCTTCCTGGAGCTTGGTTTTTGGACGTCATCGTCTCCAAGCTGCAGCCCGGGTCTGAACTGGGCGCGATAGACCCAGGCTGGCTGTTCGTGTGGCGTTGGAGCCAGTTCCCATTTCTGCGTTAGGTTTCATTCCTGGCCTTTTCCCTGCTTTGAGGGGCTGCACAGAGTACCTGAGGGCCCTTGCGTGCACCCCTAAATCTTCTCTTTAGCTGTGTTCCTTCTGAAGGAAAAGGTTTCACTCTTCTTTTCAGCTCTGGAGATTTCTTGTTTTGGTTCCAAACCCTCGAGGTGCTGGAGCAGCTAGTTTGCCTTGATCTTGTCACTTCTGTGTTTTCTCTTCCCCAGAGCAGCCATTGCTCTGGGAGCCTGAGGACCAGCCTCAGCCCATGGCCCCTGCTGGGGCGGCCACCTCGGCGTCCGGTGGTGACTGTGCAGGACACATGTTTCCGGCCCCCCTCCTCTGAGGCTCCAGGAGCAAAGTGCTGTCCCCAAAGCCATGCCGGCAGCAGGAGCGTCTCCATGCCGGGCACGCACCGAAGGTGTGTCCAGGGTGTAGGGACCCAGGAAGGTTGTCTTGTGGTGGACTCTGATGACCACAGCCCAGGCGCTTTTGTGGCTCGTGGAATCGCTTCCTCAGAAAGGAGGCTGGGTGCTGCCGCGGCCTTTTCCTTCCTAGAGCCCTTTCTCATGCAGCGTTGGCTGGGCCTGCTCAGCACTGTGGCAGCTGTCATGGCAGCCAGTGGTCCTTGCTTTGGGCAGCAGTGAGATGCACAGGCCTGGAGTCAGGGCTGGGGCCGACCTGCCGGAGACCCCCTTCCTAGCTGCGTCCCTCACTCGGGGCCGACCGGCCGGAGACCCCCTTCCTAGCTGCGTCCCCCTGTGTGGAGGCCCCACTGGTTCTCCTGAATGCTGTGCCCTCTGCTTCCATGTCAGAACATTTCCCTCCAATGGGCAGGGGCGAACCCACCTGCACCCCCGGGCCCAGGTGCTCCCAGATGCAGAGCAAGCCCACCCAGCGGGGGAAGGCACGGCTCGGGGGCAGGAAGGAGGTGGTGGAGCTGGGGGTGGTTCGGCCCCAAGCACCCTGAGCCTCTGGTTGCCTACTTCATTCTGGCCCAGGCTGCATGGGGGTTTCCAAGGCTGGGGTCAGACTGATGGACAGGGCCATTAGCAGAGATTCAGGAAGAGGAACCGGTTCTGGGAAAACCATCTGCATGCAGAGCCCAGGGGACTGGCCATGCCGGACTCTCCTCCGAGGTCCGGGTGGGATGCTCCAACAGGGCTGGTTTTCCCATGGGCTTTGGGATGAGGGCTTTTCTGGGGAATTCCAGATCCCCCCCAGTCTGTAGGTGCCAAGCTCAGCCTTCTCAGGAAGCCTTGCTGGCCGGGGGTGGGGCTGACCGCGGAGGGGCCCTGAAGGCTGGAGCAGCCTGGGGAAGCTCTGCCGCCGTGGCCGGCTGCGCAGCCTGGAAGGGACGCCTGGCCTCCCAGATCCTCTCCCTCCCCGACAACTAATGTCCAAGACTGACTGCTGAGATTCTGGGATTTGCGGTGGGCCCCACGGACTGGAATCTTCATTAGTTTAGGGGCGGTGGCTGGAGGTAGGAGCCTCTGGGCCCTGTGTGCCCCTCAGCCAGTCACCTGCAGTGACAGTGGGAGCAGGCTCCTGCACTCGGCCCACAAACCTGCTAGCCCGGCTGCATGGTGCGAGGCAGGAGAGAGATTCCGAGAAGCTCCTTCCTGAGCGTGTGGCGGGGGGCCTGTGTATGCTCACAGCTGTAAACAACTAGTATCTCATTCACTGTACAGGGCTAGCGCAATGGGCCATAAACTCACACGGCCATGGTGCCGCACTCAGGGACTGGTCTGGCCGCCCGCGTCCTCAGGGCTACAGAGGAGTGAAGCGTTCAAAGTCTTTCTCTGGGGAAGCCGAAGGTCAAAGGTCGAGCTGTGCCTGAGAGACAGAGGTTCAGGCTGAGGGAGGAGTCCGCATCCTTATGTTCCTCGGAGGTCTCCTCTTGTGACATGCTTGCACACATGCACATGTATGCACACCCATGACCCTGGGACCGTTTGGGGCAGGGTTGCACGGCTTGATGTGCAGTGTTGGGTGGAGGTAAGGGAGGCTCCGGTGGGCTTCTGTTGGCTTTTCCTTTAGCCGAGATCCGTGGCAGAAGACACGGGCCAATCTGTGCTGAGTAGGCTGCATGCAGTTTAAAACTTCTCAAGCAGTTCTTAATCATTTTTATTCTACCCCACATGGCTGAGGCTGGGGACACTCTCCAGACAGCCCCGTGGCTCTCAGGGGCCTGGTCCCAGGAGGCTCGGCGGGATGTGTTTGGGGCACGGGGGTCCGAATGCCCCGCGGGTGGCCTCCTGCCCCCGGCCGCAGTGCTGGGATGCACCTGCCTTTCTACTTTCCACAACTTGGGATCTTTTCTGGCAACTGCTGTGCAATTTTCTAGTATTTTGTATTTGTATAAGAAACATCTTGTTTTTAGGCCCACAACTTGTTCTTTTTCCTAATAGCTTTTCCCCCTACTTGTCACTGACCTGTTCTCTTAGGTGGCTGCATGTTACAGGGGAGTCCCCAGTCTTTGGACTGTTCCAGAGCCCAAGACTAGCTCGGCTGTGCCACTCGGGGAAGCACACTGGAATTCAAATGAGACAGATGTTACTCTGGGAATCATCTTGATCCTCTTAGATCTGTGTGAGAAGAAAACGGTGGACAAACATTGGTGCTTGAGCCGTAATTAGTAAGAAATTGCTGGTGTTCCTCCTCACCCGTGCCTGGTGACAGGAAGTCAGGAGAAGAGAGTGTTTGATCACTTCTAGATCAGTAGGTTCTGACCATGAAAAGTCCCTTTCCGTGTTATCTGTGGGGCAGGGTCACACGGAGTTTCTCTGTGGGGATTGTTCTCCACCAGGGCTTGTTGGTCCAGACCCCTTGAACGGCATTGATGCCTGGCTGGAGAGAGGGAGGGGCCCTGACCGACGTCTGGCTGGAGAGAGGAGGGAGGGCCCTGATCGACGCCTGGCTGGAGAGAGGGAGGGGCCCTGACCGACGTCTGGCTGGAGAGAGGAGGGGGGGCCCTGATCGACGCCTGGCTGGAGAGAGGGAGGGGCCCTGATCGACGCCTGGCTGGAGAGAGGAGGGAGGGCCCTGATCGACGCCTGGCTGGAGAGGGGAGGGGGGCCCTGATCGACGCCTGGCTGGAGAGGGGAGGGGGGCCCTGATCGACGCCTGGCTGGCTGGAGAGAGGAGGGAGGGCCCTGATCGACGCCTGGCTGGAGAGAGGGAGGGGCCCTGACCGACGTCTGGCTGGAGAGAGGAGGGGGGGCCCTGATCGACGCCTGGCTGGAGAGAGGGAGGGGCCCTGATCGACGCCTGGCTGGAGAGAGGAGGGAGGGCCCTGATCGACGCCTGGCTGGAGAGGGGAGGGGGGCCCTGATCGACGCCTGGCTGGAGAGGGGAGGGGGGCCCTGATCGACGCCTGGCTGGAGAGAGGGAGGGGCCCTGATCGACGCCTGGCTGGAGAGAGGGAGGGGCCCTGACCGACGTCTGGCTGGAGAGAGGAGGGGGGGCCCTGATCGACGCCTGGCTGGAGAGAGGGAGGGGCCCTGATGGACGCCTGGCTGGAGAGAGGAGGGAGGGCCCTGATCGACGCCTGGCTGGAGAGGGGAGGGGGGCCCTGATCGACGCCTGGCTGGAGAGAGGGAGGGGCCCTGATCGACGCCTGGCTGGAGAGAAGGGGGGGACTTGATCGACGCCTGGCTGGAGAGAGGGAGGGGCCCTGATCGACGCCTGGCTGGAGAGGGGAGGGGGGCGCTGATCGACGCCTGGCTGGAGAGAGGGAGGGGGGGCCCTGATCGACGCCTGGCTGGAGAGAGGGAGGGGGGGCCCTGATCGACGCCTGGCTGGAGAGAAGGGGGGGACTTGATCGACGCCTGGCTGGAGAGAGGGAGGGGCCCTGATCGACGCCTGGCTGGAGAGAAGGTGAGGACTTGATCGACACCTGGCTGGAGAGAGGGAGGGGCCCTGATCGACGCCTGGCTGGAGAGGGGAGGGGGGCACTGATCGACGCCTGGCTGGAGAGGGGAGGGGGGCCCTGCTGGTTCTCTCGCTGCTGCTGGGGGATCCTGAGCGATCGGCCCCTCAGAGGCGTGAGCAGTTGTCTCCGGGACCTCCGTACCGCTTCCTGAATTCCCCAGCTGGTCCCATCCGTCTGGAATCAGTGGCATTCCTTTCTCTCTCCATCATTTCCTGCTCCATTTAGCGCTCCTCCAGTATTTAGAGAAAGAGTTTCTCAGCATTTGGACCCAAGAATGTGTTTATGGAAATGCTGAGTGAAAATGAAAGACTGGAAAGGAAAAAACACTTCTCACTACATTTTTGCTAAGTGCCTTTTTTTAAGTTTATTTTGCTTTATAAAGTGTATTTCTGTGTTTTCTTTAGGGAAGCCCTTTCTGCCCTCCATGTGCCCTTCCCAGGCCGGGGAAAAGAGCTGGGGTGGGTGGGTCAGGAGGAAAGCGGGGGGTGGAGAGGGAGGGGCAGGCAGCCAATTTCATCTCCAAATAAAAGCACTTTGATTTCTTCCCACCAGATCACGATTCATTGTCATGGGTGACCATTTAGTTCTGTGCTCCCCTGGTTTCCTTCTGGGGGACCCCACGGTGGCACCCACACCCCTGTCGCTGCCCACACCCAAGGCTTCCCTCTGGGTAGCTGCACTGGAACCAGCGGGTTTTATGAACACAAGAATGCTGGTGTTTTTCAGGCAGGATACAGCTGCTGACTTTCAGCAGAGAAGGCCAGGCAGTGGGCTAGCCTGGTCTGGTTAATAATTCATCATAGATTTGTGGATGGTCACACGGAGTGTGCGGAGCTCAAAAGCTGCCACTTGCTTAGACGCTAGTCCAGATTTTAGTGTAATGCCTGTGGCTTAAAAGTGGCGGTGACATCGGTTTTCAAATAAAATATTTCAGAAATATTTGGGACATTTCTATGCATCTAATCAGAAAGTTGTGAGGCTTGTAAAAATGTGCCATGCATTCTTAACTGGTGTGTTTATTAGGATTTGGGGCTAGAGTTGGGATGTGATAGAGTCAGTGTGAGATGGATGACTTTTTGAGGTCACCCACCAAAAGGCAACAACGGCAAGGCAAAAGCTTTTAGTTTTACTTGATGTGTTAATTACAAATATTAGTTAGAGTAAAGTGATTTTTCAGAAGCTTCCCCACCCACTAAAATGTCCTCCCACAGGCACTTGGCTGGGGGGTTTGAGTCACACAGGCGGGGGTGGGCCTGAGTTTGCCCCCCTGGGGTTCCCAGGAGGCAGCTGCAGTCGTCGGGAGCCATGAACTGGGGCTGTCCCAGGATATAAGGGAAATATTGGCTGTGCCTTCCAAGTTATTATAGAGTAAGGGATAAATAAGACAAACCCATGAACGTGGCCACGTATTTATGAGACTCATAATGAGAATTTTCAGCCTCCTTGCAGAGGTGAGCTACTATTGTGCTCGGGAAGATTAAGGCACTTCTAAACGGCTGTTCCCGTGCACTCACGGACACTTGGTGTGCACACGTGCACACGGCAACATCCACATGTGCACACAGGTGCGTGTGCATGCACCCCTCACACGTGCACCCCTCACACACATGCTTACAGGTGTGTGTGCATGCACCCCTCACACACGTGCACCCCTCACACACGTGCTCACCCACAGATGTGCATACAGGAGCATTGCATGCACCCCTCACACACGTGCACCCCTCACACACATGCACCCCTCACACACGTGCTCTCCTCACACACGTGCTCTCACACACGTGCATCCCTCACACACGTGCTCTCCTCACACACATGCATCCCTCACACACGTGCACCCCTCACACACATGCACCCCTCACACACGTGCATCCCTCACACACGTGCACCCCTCACACACATGCACCCCTCAGACACGTGCACCCCTCACACACGTGCTCACCCACAGATGTGCATACAGAAGCATTGCATGCACCCCTCACACACGTGCTCCCCTCACACATGTGCACCCCTCACGCACATGCTCACCCACAGATGTGCACCCCTCACGCACGTGCTCACCCACAGATGTGCACCCCTCACGCACGTGCTCACCCACAGATGTGCATACAGGAGCATTGCATGCACCCCTCACAGACGTGCTCCCCTCACACACGTGCTCCCCTCACACACGTGCACCCCTCACACACGTGCTCTCCTCACACACATGCATCTGTCACACACGTGCACCCCTCACACACGTGCTCTCCTCACACACATGCACCCCTCACACACGTGCATCCCTCACACACGTGCACCCCTCACACACATGCACCCCTCACACACGTGCACCCCTCACACACGTGCTCTCCTCACACACATGCATCTGTCACACACGTGCACCCCTCACACACGTGCTCTCCTCACACACATGCATCCCTCACACACGTGCTCTCCTCACACACATGCATCCCTCACACACGTGCACCCCCACACACATGCACCCCTCACACACGTGCACCCCTCTCACACGTGCACCCCTCACACACGTGCACCCCTCACACATGTGCATCCCTCACACACGTGCTCCCCTCACACACGTGCACCCCTCACACACGTGCTCCCCTCACACACGTGCTCACCCCTCACACACGTGCACCCCTCACACACGTGCACCCCTCATACATGTGCACCCCTCACACACGTGCACACCCACACTGATGCACCCCTCACACACGTGCTCTCTTCACACACATGCACCCCTCACACACGTGCACCCTTCACACACGTGCACCCCTCACACACGTGCACCCCTCACACACGTGCTCACCCACACTGATGCAGAGGATTCTCCAAACCTGCAGGCTCCATGTGAATAGTGGAAACTGTATTTGCAGAGTTAATTTTTCATTAAGCAAAATTATTAGGCTGCCATTGAATAACTTTTTTCAAATAACTTTATTTAAAGTGATAAAAACTTTTATCATTACAAATAAATTAAGCATTAACTCAGTAGTGTTTTGCCTCTTCTAAGGGTTCGTGTGCCGTAAGGTGCAGTTTTCCCTCACGTTTTAATGGCTCTGACGGGCGCCGCTCAGTCACCAGTTTCCCCTTTCCCAGTGGCTTGGAACAGCGGTCTGTCCTACGCTGGAGTCTTTCGGATTCCTCAGAATGCGGCATGTTTATGAAAAAGCATTCATAGGGAGGGGTAGGGATGGGGGTCTCTAGGTTAATAGTGAGGACGGTATTTCTATTTTATGTATGTGTGTTTCAGAGTTGCAAATCACCTCAGATAAAATAGGGCCCCTTAGACAAGACAGCAGGCCTGGCCCGAGGGGAGGGGTGTCTGTGATGACCTTCTCAAGGCCAAAAACTTCAGGACCAGCAGGATTCCTCCAGAGAATGTTTTCTTGAAGAGCGTTAGCTGCGCGTTGCAAGGCTGGCCGAGAGGGCACAGGCCCACAGGGGACCCGGGGTTCCGCCCCTGCGCTGCTGCCAGGCTCTGGCTGTGTGACCTGTCACCCTCCAGGCCTCAACATCCACACTCATGTCAGCAGGGTGATGACAACTTCCCAGGGACCCCAGAACGTCACCCGCCTCAACTGCAGACGCCTCTGAGCACATGTCCCATTCACAGAGCGTTTGGGTTTCTTCTTTAAGCCTGCTGGTTATGACAGAAAGTAAAATATTAACCAAGAAGAATAATCTCACATTTAAATACAGCTTCACACAAACACATACATCTGTAGCAACGTCGTTACAGGAGACTGAGAAGGCGTGGGGGCTCCTCATCATTCCAGGCTGTGCTTTTCCCTTGAGAAGCAATAGAGGTAGGAGACTGCGGCTGTTTCTGACCTCTGGACCGGTTAGAGAGCGTTTGTAGGGTAAAAACATACACAGGAGGCTGTGTGTTATGAGAGGAGCCACCAAATCGGCAGGCGACAGCGAGGGGGACACGAGGCCTGCAGAGGGCGTGGACATGACCAGCTGCTTCGAGGCCTGCACTCTGCCTCCGACGGCTTTATCTCTAGGGCATGAGTCTCTTGCGACAGGAAGTGAGTATTAATGAATCAGTTAACCATTTTCTAAACTGGGAAGTTGTCTTGTGACCAGTCTTCACGCAGGCAGGCACCTCCCCCGCGTGCCCGACACTAACCCAAGCCTTATGTTTTGTGGGACACGTGGCCTCGCCCGGGCCAAGGGTCGGTGTGACTGTCCAGCCTCTGTGTCACCAAGGTGGGGTGTTCATCTATTGAACTCACATCCTCACCAGCCGTCCCAGCCAGGAGACACTCGGGAAAACTGCTACCGCACGGCGGCACAGGGACCGTAAACATGTTACCGCTGGACATAATGGAAGCTGCCGATGACACCACACACAAAGCCCCCCATGGGTTCCAAGTATTTTTACACGGCCAGACCTGGCCCTGTGCCTTGTTCAGCGGCCTCTCTGTGGAGAAGCCTTCTCCTGCCGGGACCTGCAGCATCTCACAGCTGGGGGTGGGGCTGGGGAACCTGCAGCATCTCACAGCTGGGGGTGGGGCTGGGGAACCTGCAGCATCTCACAGCTGGGGGTGGGGCTGGGGAACCTGCAGCATCTCACAGCTGGGGGTGGGGCTGGGGGTGCTTTCACCCACGGCCAGGGGTCGTGCCCGGGAATTTCCCAGCTTACCAGCTTAGCACCCCCGCGTCGTCCCTGGAGCTGGGAGCTATGGGTCTTTCCACTGTTGGTCACGACTCTGCCCTGTCCCTGCACATGAGGGCGGGTGGTTGAAAAATCAAAGCCAAGTAAGCTTTGGAGGGAGCGTGTTTAACCTGCCCTCGGGTTTACACTGAAACCCTGCCCACATGTTATCAAGGGTTACCCATAAACAAAGGTCGGCGAAGGATGAAGAAAAACAAGTTGCTTTTACGAGTCAATTAAATATGTGATAGTGCTCAACTCATTTTGGCCTGTGTGGTTTAAAGACCAGACGAGAATATGCTGTTATTTAAGTAAAGGTAAAATGAGGGTCTGGGCCCATTTTGCACCATTTAGCAAGTGAATGGGTAGCTTTTGTGGTCAGACCTCACTTTGGCTGACAGAGCTAGGAAATGTGCAAGGAGCATTTGCTGATTAGTTCATCTCCCTCCATCCATCCGTGTCCCCGTTCCTTCACCCCTCTGCGTGCCAGGTCAAGATATCCCAGAGAATGTTTCTAGAGGAGTTCTGGACTCAAGTCTAATAAAGGAAACCCCAGGAAATCCAGAACAGAAAGTTAGCGTGTGACAGGAGGAAATTCGTTTTGCACTCCGCAGCTGAATTTGCGGTTGCCTTTCTAACGTCACATGGGCTGTGCTGAGGATAGGCCAGGTCTCTCTCCCCTGCACGGACATCGCAGACGCTCACCGTGGTGGGGTGGATTGATGGACATGGTGAGAGCTGCATGGACATTGCAGATACTACAGACATCGCAGACACTACAGACATCGCAGACACTTGCTGTGGTGGGTGGATTGATGGATGCGGTGTGAGCTATACGGACATCACTCGCCATGGTGGGTGGACTGATGGACGCGGTGTGAGCTGTACGGACATCACTCGCCATGGTGGGTGGACTGATGGACGCGGTGTGAGCTGTACGGACATCACTCGCCATGGTGGGTGGACTGATGGACGCGGTGTGAGCTGTACGGACATCACTCGCCATGGTGGGTGGACTGATGGACGCGGTGTGAGCTGTACGGACATCACTCGCCATGGTGGGTGGACTGATGGACGCGGTGTGAGCTGTACGGACATCACTCGCCATGGTGGGTGGACTGATGGACGCGGTGTGAGCTGTACGGACATCACTCGCCATGGTGGGTGGACTGATGGACGCGGTGTGAGCTGTACGGACATCACTCGCCATGGTGGGTGGACTGATGGACGCGGTGTGAGCTGTACGGACATCACTCGCCGTGGTGGGTGGATTGATGGATGCGGTGTGAGCTGTACGGACATCACTCGCCGTGGTGGGTGGATTGGTGGACACAATGTGAGCCAGCCAGTCTCTGATGGCAACTGTTTTACATTCCCGGGTAGCATTTGTCCCCTCTGGTTTTCTCATTGGCATCTTTCTCTCTTTTTAAGAAATTCGTCAGAAGCAACATGGTTCTTCCCAGTGAGTGTAGCAGAGGTCTGCTTGACATTTTAGATACATTTCTCCAATTCTCCTTCCGTTCCTTGCCAGCCACTATGTGCTGTGCTGAGCTCAAGCCACAGGTGCATCTGCCCAAGTGCAGGGCCCTGTCGGGAAGAGCCGTCTGAGGCCCCCAGTCTCCATGGAAGGAGGTGCCTGTGAGAGACGATGTGCCAGGAGGAGGCCGGTGTGGCTGAGCAGACAAACTTACATTCAGAGAAGCCTCATCCGTGGAAACAGCCCAGGAGGTACAGCAGCTGTTGGGCTCTGGACTTGGCATGTGGCTTATGGCCGAGCATCCCCTTAGGATCATCCCAGCCCTCCAGCTCCTGCCCCCAAGTCGGGAAAGGCTTCCCGTGCATGGCAGGGCCTCCACGGGCTCTGGAGTCCTGGTCGGCCTCTGCTGGGATGGGCTGGGCCTTTCTCTGAGCCCCCAGGCCTTTAGTGCCTCCTAGTCCCACCCTCCAGCCCTCCCTGAGCTAAGCACCTTCCCAGCCCCCTGCTGGCCTCTCATTCACTCTCTGAACGGCGAGTGTTGCTTTTTTGCTGAGGATTCTCTTGGAAACCCTTTGAGCTGAGAGATGAGCCCACAGCGGTGCCTCTGCCTCAGATGTTGGTGTACCCTGCGGCCCCACGGGGAGTGGACGCTGGCAGTCGGGGCACCTTGGCTGTGGGAAAGGAGGACCACGCTGGCCACACAGGCCTGAGTGTGTGGGACCAGGGCAAGCAGGGAGAGCTGGCATACCCCCACCCCATTCTCCAGTTACCAACCCTTAACCCGGGGCTCTCCTAGCGGGGTCCCCATACCTGCAGCACCAGCATCCCCGGGCACGCGTGTGAAGTGCTCGAGGCAGGCCGCACCCCTACAGAGCTGGGGCTGGCGATCTCTTTCCACCGGCCCTGCAGAGAGTTCCCGTCCGGCTGAAATCTGAGACCCCGGTCTAAAGAGTGTGATTCTCTTCCTGCAGAGTATCAGGAGCAGACCAGCTTCCCAAACAGTCACCCGCAGAGCTTCTGCTCCTTCGGGGAGGGCCCTGACTTTCTCGTGGTAGAAATCCTCCACCCGGCCAGGTTCCGGCTGCCCCAGGCCCCCTAGAAGACTCCGGGGATTGCTGAGCAGATGCGGGGCTGCCTGGAGCTGGCCTGGCCCCTGGTGCCCTGCTAATGCCATTTTTTGGTAACACCCATTCACAATAGCCTGGCTGAGGGTTTTGTTCTCCTTCTCTTTATTTGCTATCACTAAATCCATCTGATTAAAAATTAGCCTGGTGTGCCCTTGTCCCAGTTGCTGGGGGGGGTGCCTGGGGGCTGCTGTTTCCAGGGAGAGGGAGGGACAGTGTCACTTACGGGACCACACAAAGGGGCGAATCTGCCTTTTGCTTTTGTCTCTTCCGCTACAGCTCCCACCCTCGCCTGTTCCTTGGAATTAGATAGGGTGAAGTCTGTGCCTCCTTCACCAGCATAAACAGAAGCTATTTTAAGTTGATGGGCCCCAACCCCAACCAAGACACAGGATCCGATGATCCTCTGGAAGCGCCGTCTTTGCTCAAATTGCAGCTGGGGATGTCCTAACTCCTGACCACAGATGGAGGTTTGACATACTCTGCTTTACGCATGAGGTTTTCTAAACAGTTTATGTAGCTAGAGGCTGTTTTGGAGAAACAGAGATGGTCATGGACATAGTTGCAAATACCAAGGCTATCAGTGGACATGGAGACGCTGGGCTCTGTGTGAGGCAGGAAGTGACGTTTCCCTCCTTAGAGGCTCAGCCCGTTAGAACTCGGCCTGCAGCTCGTTTGAGGCTCAGCCCGTTAGAACTCGGCCTGCAGCTCGTTTGAGGCTCAGCCCGTTAGAACTCGGCCTGCAGCTCGTTTGAGGCTCAGCCCGTTAGAACTCGGCCTGCAGCTCGTTTGAGGCTCAGCCCGTTAGAACTCGGTCTGCAGCTGGTTTGAGGCTCAGCTCCTTAGAACTCCGCCTGCAGCTCGTTTGTGGCTCAGCCCGTTAGAACTCGGCCTGCAGCTGGTTTGAGGCTCAGCCCGTTAGAACTCGGCCTGCAGCTCGTTTGTGGCTCAGCCCGTTAGAACTCGGTCTGCAGCTGGTTTGAGGCTCAGCTCCTTAGAACTCCGCCTGCAGCTCGTTTGTGGCTCAGCCCGTTAGAACTCGGCCTGCAGCTGGTTTGAGGCTCAGCCCGTTAGAACTCGGCCTGCAGCTCGTTTGTGGCTCAGCCCGTTAGAACTCGGCCTGCAGCTGGTTTGAGGCTCAGCCCGTTAGAACTCGGCCTGCAGCTCTTTGTGGCTCAGCCCGTTAGAACTCGGCCTGCAGCTGGTTTGAGGCTCAGCCCGTTAGAACTCGGCCTGCAGCTCGTTTGTGCCGTTCCATGTTGCAGTTTTAGGTTTTTTTTTTTTTTACTTTGAGCAGCCCTGGATTATGACAGGTGTCTGGCGATGTCTTTCCTGACCAGAGCGTGGCTCAGCCCCCGACCGGGGCCCACGGCCAGACCCTCACTCTGCTGCCCCCGACCTGGGACACCGTGGCTCTCTCAGGAGGATTCTCACTCCCCAGCCAAGCACAGTCTGTGGTGTCAAACCTGCCGGTGTCCGGATGGGTGTGTCCTGGTGCTCTGAGGCTCCGGTCCGGGCTGTGGGGACGCGGGAGGCTGAGCGGGTGAAGGCGGCTGTGATGTGCGTGTCATGCCCTGTGCAGGTGCCAGGAGGGGCTGTCGGTCCTCACAGCAGCCAGGGGAGGAAGCTTGTTGTGTTTGTTGCTGATGAGGAAACGGGGCTCTGGGAGGGAAGTGCTTTGCCGGCTCACGCTGGGCCACAGCTGCCTGCTGCTTTCCTGAGAAGCCGTGTAAGGAAGGTGGCGGCCGAGTGCGCAGAACCTGTCCTGTGTAGGGCCAGGGGTCATGCAGCTGTGCAGGGAAGCAGCCGCAGGCACGGTGCCGTCCAGTGAGCCGGACTGTATCCATTTCACCTTATTTCAGACACTGAGATTTGAGTTGCACGTAATGTTCACAGGCATGAAATGTTATCCTTTTGATAATTTTTAAATTACTTAAAATCTACCTTGCAGGCGTTACAGCACAGGGTATGGTCAGGGGCCCGGGTCTGTCTCTCCCTGGTCCTGGCAGCCATGTAAGCCCGTAGACCCAGAGCAGGGGTCCAGCTTCCAGGCCCCCCTGGGGACTGCTGAATTCTGTCCCACTGACTTAGATTTTTTGTTTTATTCTGAGCATTTCTGTGTCTGTTGATTCACTATTTTTTTCTGGTTATAGAAGGAATAATTTTTCTTTTACCAACCACCCAGGCTGCAGCCACCTGTGACTGGTCAGGTTTCTGTGATGGGGAGAGGGCCTGGCCCTGAGGTCTGTGTTTCACGGCTCTCACTGGGCTCCGCCAGACGCTCGTTGCCCTGAGGGTGCAGCTGTGGCAGCATCTGTGGGTGGCTGAGGAGACGGGACGTTCACCGGGAAGTTGCGCCCCAAGGGTGTTCTGGGGGCTGCCTCGATTCCCAGAGCTAGACCCACACGATGCTGAGTCTCGTGCCGCCGCGAGGCCACCCCCGGTCAAAGAGACCCAGTCGCCTGCCTCGTGGCCCTGCGCCAGCCCCGCCTCTGGTGACGTCTCTTTGGAAGCCACAGCAGGAGGAGGCTGCTCACGGCGTTTGGAGGCTCGAGGGCCTGGTCTCCAGGTGTGCACAGCCGGGATGGAGCAGAAGGAGGATGAGCTTAAGTCAGAGAGTCCTGGGCTCCAGTTTTGCTTTGACGTTTATGTTGCTTTAAGAGAAAACAGCTCAGCTGTGCTTTTCTCCTCTCCGCGGCCCTCATGGCTGATCTGTATGGAAGATTAGAGAGGACCCTGTGTCAACGTCCGCAGCCCACCGTAGGTGCTGAGTAAATGTTGGTCGGTGTTTTTCTCACTTTATTTTCAAGCTGTCATTGGCTTGGGATTTTGTAAAAGGCAGCTGGGGTGTGGATTGGAGTGGAGCTCTAAGATGCTTGAGGCAAGAGGAGGCTGTGAACAGGAGGGTTTGGACTGGGAACCACGCAGCACAAACGAGCTGAGTTCGAGGAAGGCCTCAGTGCCTTGAAAGGCAGCTGCTGTTTACACTTTTCTCAAGACAGAGGCTTCACGTGGTCGCCGTTCACACAAGTGCCAAGCAAGACCCTGGCACCAGAGGCGTGGACTGAAAATGAAGCCACCTGAACGTCCTGTGACGGTCACGGAGCCGGTCGTGTTCGGGGGCCCGTGTGTGTTTGTCAGGCCAGGACCCTGCCGCCTGCCCTCTGGCTTAAGGAATCCAGTTGGGGAGAAACACTCCCTCTGAGTACCCCTGGGGTTTTGACCCAGCTTGAGGTTGTAAACAGGTGGAGGGGGCCGAGTGGAGAGGCCTTGCTGTGATAGAGACCTGGGCCTGCCCTGCCACCGTCCGCCGGGAGCCCACGGCAGCCTCGCCCTCCGACACCTGCACGCTGCATGCAGTGGACTGAACTGCAGGATGCCTGTGTTGCTGCCAGTTCTGCTGTTTGGGAAAAACTCTCTGTGTTAAGTTGGATCTTCCTTGTGACTGATTCAGAGGAGCCACGTTGTTACGGAAGGGCTGGGACCCAGACACAGGGTCCAGAGTGTCCTCGAGGTATCAGAAGAACTCCTGGAGAGCAAGCTGAGGGCTGTGTCGTCGCCACACCCTCCGTGGGTCCCTGCTCCTGAGTTAGGCTGTGCCCAGCCGCCCAGTGACTCAGAAGCTGTGCACACAAGGTGTGAATCCCACCTTGCTCTAGCACCAAGAAAACAGCACCTGGTGATGGGATGTGGATGGCGGACGCGGGGTGACAGACAGGGGATAATGGACATGGGGTGATGGACGTGGGGTGATGGACATGGGGTGATGGATGCGGGGTGACGGACGGGGGATCATGGACGTGGGGTGATGGACGGAGGATGACGGACGGGGGGTGATGGATGGGGGATGATGGACGCGGGGTGATGGATGGGGTGACGGACATGGGGTGACGGATGGGGGTGATGGACGCGGGGTGATGGACACGGGATGACGGATGTGGGGTGACAGATGGGGTGATGGTTTCAGGGTGACAGACATGGGGTGACGGACGGGGATGACAGACACGGGGTGACGGATGCAGGGTGACAGACATGGGGTGACAGACGCGGGGTGACAGACACGGGGTGATGGGGGATGACAGCTGCGGGGTGACGGACAGGGGATGACGGAGGATGATGGGTTGTGGGATGATAGGACTTCTCAGCACTGGTCGCTCCTGCCTGGGGGTGGGAGTGAATGGGAAGGAGAAAGGCTCGGAGAGGTCCTTACCCAGTGGCCAGGAGTGGGGCTCAGGTTTTTCGTAGTGTTCAGGGGATCCCGCAGAGCCCCTAGGGGATGGCAGGGCCACCCCCACCATGCCGGCGAGGAAGCAGGCTTGGAGAGGCTTACCCTCTGAGGCGGCCGTGGAGAGTGGCACTCAGGGGCTGGCTCAGGTCCCAGGCTGGGTGCGAGCTGATCCGCGTCAGCCTCTGGTTCTGAAACACTGAGCCTGGCTCCATTCTGAAAAGTGCAGCAGTAATTTGAACCTTGTTCTGAATGGCCCCGCTGATTCATCCTGCTTTTGCAGGGTCCTGCTGAAGGACAGCGGCTTCTGCTTCCTCTGATCCTGGCAGCCTGGAACTTCCTGAGAGGACTGGGCATGTGGATAGCCATGGGGGGGGACGTCCTTTAAACTGGGGAATGGGCTCCCCTAGACACAGTCGCTTCCACAGGAATCTTCTAGAGCCTCACCCAGGGCAGAGCAGACACCCGCAGCAGCCTGGAGTTCCGGGGAGCCCTGGCCGCCTGCCTGGGTCATGAGGGACAGGCCAGCCCCCAACCCTTGGGTAGGAAGAGCCCAGCCCTCAGACAGGACAGGCACCTGGGTGAACAGACAGCTTCCCCTGCAGGAGGAGATGCAGCTGTTCAGAAGCAGACCTCCAGCGTGGGAAAATCAGACCCATGGTGTCAGGGTGCACGAAGGCAGGACACACAGGCCCGTCCCCCGCGAGGGTCAGGACACGAAGGAGGGACACACAGGCCCGTCCCCCGCAAGGGTCAGGATACGAAGGAGGGACACACAGGCCACATCCCCTGCGAAGACCAGGACACGAACGTGGGACACACAGGCCTGTCCCCTGCGAGGACCAGGACACAAAGGCAGACACACAGGCCACGTACCCCGTGAGGGTCAAGGTGCCCAGGGTCAAGGCTGGAGCCTGAACGCTGTCCGCAGACCGTGGCTGGATGGAGACTGCCATGTTGAAATGCCTGCACATCTGATCCAGATGTGGCCGTGCACGAGAGAGGAGGTGTGGGCGTGCACACCAAGCCGTCCTTGCCAGATGTGGCTCTGGGGGGGCCTGGCTGAGGGAGGGAAAAGAGTTAACTTTTTCTACCTGGAGACTTAACTGGCTAGAATGAATATCTATTTCTTTGTAATTAAGAACATTTTAAAATACAGAAAAATAGTTTCCTTATAAGACTTTTAATTTTAAACATACGCAGAGCTTTCTAAATGGGACGCAGCATATAGTTTGGTTTCTGTGGGCCGTGTGCCTTCCATGTGCCTGGAGGATGGACAGGTGGTTTTGTAATGTGTGTCATAGTTTGCACCCAGCTGGTTCAGGTGTTAAGCCAAAAACAATTAATAAAGCAGTGGTGGTGATCAGTTCAGACAGAGCCCAACCCCTCCCCACGCCAGGGGCTTATGCTCCGGAGCGGGAAGCGTGTTCTAAGTGGGACTTGGGTGTGAATTTCTACACCTACGCTAAGTAAAATGGGCATTTATTTACAAAGCTCCGAATTACATTGTTTTATATTTTATGTTTAAACTTCATTAGGAAAAATTGCCATTATTGTTACACGTAATGAGTTGACTGTCAATATAAACGAAGGAAATGTTGGCAAAAGAAAAATTAGACCTATCATTTTTATTTACAATAATCTCAAATGCTGTTAAATTTGTAAGCATTTCTGTTGCTTTATAGATGTTTTGGAAAAGCTAATTTTAAGTTTTCAAGAATGAGAAGTTGTCCCCACTGAAAGCCTGGCACGTTAGCGTCTTTCTTTGCGTTAGTTTCTCTCCATTCTTATTTTGCTCCGTGGAGATACGGTGCGCGCACACATATTCAATATTAAACACACATCTGTAAACACACACAGGAAACATTAAACCCATATGTTTCTATGTATTATTGAAAGTTCATCGGAAAAGACAGCAGAGGCCGTGTGCCGCTCTGCCATGCGCCCATCCGGAGGCTGCCGTGTGCCGCTCTGCGATGTGCACCCATCCCAACACCCGGTCATCCTCTTCCTCCCACTCAGTGCCTGCGATTTCCTGCCGTGGCCCCAGAGGAATGGCAGCTCTTTAGGGTCAGGACTGCTCAGCTCAGGGCGGGTGCAAGACGCTCTGTGTGTCAGAGTCTTGCACTGTGGAATGCCCGCTTCCTTTCCCCCACGCTGATTCCCCCACTGTGTAGCTTACCGTAATAGTTTCACAGCTAGCTGACTTCCTTAGGCCACTGGAATATTGATTTGTTCTCATGTTCTCTTAAAAATATTTTTCAAAGATTGAGAAGACACCGTAAATATGCCGTCATGGTCAGGTGTCAGGACAACGGACGGGCTGCTCAGAGCCTGGCCTGGTTTCTGTCGTTTCTGGAATGCTGTGGATGTGCTGCAGACGCCAGTGCCTCCCGTCCAGCCTCAGGCTGGGTGAAGCGAGGCGGAGGGAGCGTCTGGTCAGTGCTGGCCCCGGATGTGCCTGTGGCCTTGTCAGGCAGGAGGCAGGTGAGGAGCTTCGATGCCGGTGGTCCCTGTCCCCGTGCTGGAGGAGGGGGGCTGCCAGTGCTGCTCCTCCTTGGCTGAGGCCTCCTGAGCCCTTTTCCCCTAGGTGTCCCCTCCCAAAGCCGGGCTCCTCATAAATTTGGGGGTACAGAGCTCTGCGGCACCCCTTGGTGGAGTTGCCTCTGGAGAGCTCCACTGCTGCTGTGAACCTGCCTCTGCTTGCTGGTCACACGGCTGCCCAGTGAGCACCCCTCAGTGCAGGGTCCATGGCACCCTGGCATCTCAGAGGGCTGGCGGCTGCTGGGGATGAGGCTGGAGCCCAAGGGCAGGGTGGGGGCTTGCGTGGGGGTCGTCCTCCCAGTCCCGGACCTGCCCTCCTCCTGGGGAGAGCCCCACCCACCCTTCTGAGGTGACGGCTTGGCCCTGGAGACTACCTGCCCTGACTGGGGGCCAGGCGTGCTCTCCATCTCCAGGGATTCTGGGGCTTGGGGAGGTCATAGTCTGTTGGAGGAGGGTGCGCCAATTGGCCAAAGGGTGTTTATGGCCCGAGATGGAAGCTGGGCTCGGGGGGCCGAGAGCCTGGGGGCCACCCTTCCTGTGAGGGCTGCTGACGCTGGTGTGGGCAATGCTCAGGTGAACGTGTGTGGGGAGGGGAGGGGGCGAACGTGTGTGGGGAGGGGAGTGGGTAGCGTGTGTGGGGAGGGTGTGAACGTGTGTGTGGGGAGGGAGGGGTGAGCATGTGTGGGCTGGGGAGGCGGTAGCCCCCCCTCCAGAACAGACACTGCACTGCAGCCTGCACTTGGAGTCTGCTGCTCTCTCAGGCAGTCTTGTCCTGAGTCGTAAATAAGGAACGGAAAACCAAAGTTTCGATTTGCTATTTTCTCCTATTCTGAAGGTGCCATTGAGACGCCAAATCTTGTGCGGTTCAGGCTTTTGGCTGTGGTTCTCCACGGGGTGGCTGATGAGAGGCTTTGTGGCCGGCCCACTAGGAGGGCATCGGATGCTCGCCCTGTAATTGCGCTGGGTGTGCCCGCCACCGGAGTTCCCGCCCCTGATGACAGGGTCAGGCAGAGGCCGGTTCTTGCTAGCTGCAGGTTTTGTGGGTACAGGTCATGGGGTATGGGCTGTGGACTGAGCCTCTGGCCAGGGTGTGGTGGCATCTCAGGCCGCATCACCAGTGGGTGTCTGTGGCTGGGGCAGTGTGGACGCATCGGGGGTGGGTGTCCGTGGCCGGCGGCAGTGTGGACGCATCGGGGGTGGGTGTCCGTGGCCGGGGACAGCGTGGACGCATCAGGGGTGGGTGTCCGTGGCCGTGGCAGTGTGGACGCATCAGGGGTGGGTGTCCGTGGCCGTGGCAGCGTGGACGCATCGGGGGTGGGTGTCTGTGGCCAGGGCAGTGTGGACGCATCAGGGGTGGGTGTCCGTGGCCGTGGCAGTGTGGACGCATCAGGGGTGGGTGTCCGTGGCCGTGACAGCGTGGACGCATCGGGGGTGGGTGTCCGTGGCCGTGGCAGCATGGACGCATCGGGGGTGGGTGTCTGTGGCCGGGGGCAGTGTGAACGCATCAGGGGTGGGTGTCTGTGGCCGGCGGCAGTGTGGACGCATCGGGGGTGGGTGTCCGTGGCTGTGGCAGCGTGGACGCATCGGGGGTGGGTGTCCGTGGCCGGGGCAGTGTGGACGCATCAGGGGTGGGTGTCTGTGGCCGGGGGCAGTGTGAACGCATCAGGGGTGGGTGTCTGTGGTCGGCGGCAGTGTGGACGCATCGGGGGTGGGTGTCCGTGGCTGTGGCAGCATGGACGCATCGGGGGTGGGTGTCTGTGGCCGTGGCAGTGTGGACGCATCGGGGGTGGTGGTGCTGAGCCGAGACTCGGGCTCCGGTGTCATCAGGGGTGGGTGTCTGTGGCCGGGGGCAGTGTGAACGCATCAGGGGTGGGTGTCTGTGGTCGGCGGCAGTGTGGACGCATCGGGGGTGGGTGTCCGTGGCTGTGGCAGCATGGACGCATCGGGGGTGGGTGTCTGTGGCCGTGGCAGTGTGGACGCATCGGGGGTGGTGGTGCTGAGCCGAGACTCGGGCTCCGGTGTCAGGTGCTCCTCGGCGGCTTGGTTCTGTGTCCCCCGTCCCCCCGTCCCCCGTCTGGGAGCCGCCCGACCTTCCCTTTGGATGTAGTGTGTGTCTGGGGCTCTTGGTGTTCTCTGTGCTTTGCAAGGGTGAGAGCTACCCCAGAGAGAATGCCAGGCTCTTCCCAGACACCCCGAAGGGCCAGGGCAGCCTTCACTGTGCTGAGGCTGGCTGTGGTCTCTTGGGCATCTCTCCCGACTTGGGCCAGGTACACAGTGGGGTAGGGCGAATGTGCACACATTTCCGGTGGACTTGGGGGAGACCCTCTAGGTCTCCTTGAAGCACAGAGCCAGTGCACCTGGCTTCTCTGCCAGACACAGCAACAGTCACGGCCATTGGCCACAGCCACCTCCACGACAGCCACAGCTGCATTTCTCCCCCTGGGGCCGGCTGCACCGGAGCTGCCCACGTGAGTGTCCTTGGCTGACAGCATCGCAGCCTCACTCTTAGGGGTGAGCGAGCAGCAGGGGTGGTTTGGTTCAGGGACCCCAACTCTGGGAGCCCACCTGCCTGGGGCTGGACTCAGGCCCCGTGTTGCCTTGTGGGTGGGTGGGTGGCACTGCCGGCTGCGCCCACGGCGATTATACAGACGACTTGGTCTTCCCGTCGTCCCCAGCCCACAGGACTCCAGCCTCCACAGGCTTTGCCGCCCTCCCCAGGGGTCAGGAAGCCCCGGAGACCATAGGACAGAGGTGGTTTAGTCGGGAGCGTCGCCCTGGGGGTAGGTGAGGCAGGACAGGCAGTGACGCCGCAGCCTTGGCTGTGACACCACCTGGTGGGCTGCAGTCCCACTTCTGCCCCTGCCACCGGCCATGTGGCCTGCTCACCGCCCTGGGCCTCAGCATCTTCTCCTGCAAAATGGGGTCGTGATGGTTCCTGAGAGTTTGTGTGTAGAGGGCAGTGCTGGCACAAAACGTCAGAGACAGGGCCCCTCGCACCTCCTGCCCGTCCCACGCAGCTGCACCAGGCTCTGGGGGAGGGTGGGACCTGAGCTTGGTTCTTCTTGTGGGAAGCGCTCTCACTCCCTCTCTGTCCCTCTCCCTCTCACCGTCTCTCTGTCTCCGTCTCTCTTCCTCCTTCACTCTCGCTCTCCCCCAGCACAGGTCCGACAGTCTGGTTCGGTGCCCGCTGCTCTGCCGCCCTCTGGGCTCCTGGCTGGGGCTCTGCTCTGCTTCTCAGCCCGCTGCCTGCCCACTGCCCGCCTACCGCCCACCTGCTGCCCGCCTACCACCCGCCCGCTGTGGATCCTGTGCTTCACAGCCCCCGTCTCTCTGTTTTCTGGCACTGGAAGAAGACACTCTTTTTAAGACAGTCCTGTGACTCACAACCAAAGGGAGGTCAAGTGCATTTGCACAGTTGTATGCAGTCTGGGGGTCTCCGCTCAAGGCTGGGGACTGTGTGTCGGGCAGGTCCTTCGGTGCTGGGCACGGGGTCTTTCACCCTGTAGACGTCGCTTGTGGGGTCCTTGGAAACTGAGACCCCCGCTCCCCACTTTCTGATGAGAGGGCCCCGTCTGTCTTTATGCCATGGTCCAGGGTGAGTTGATTTCCTTGTGCCGTGGTCCAGGGTGAATGATGTGCCACATTTCCTGGGAATGACATTTTCCGTATGTTTTCCAGACGGCATTGGCATGGCCCACTTTGGAATCCAGCAGGTGACTTCAGGGCCCACAAGCCTCTCACCCCCAGGACCCCGGGTGCAGCCACAGCAGTTAAGGGAGACACTTAGACACTGCCGTCTTCCCTGGAAGCTTCCAGTTCCAACTCCGGGGCTGTTCGGGTTTCGTGTATTTCACTGCTGGCTTCACTGTTTTACCAACAGGGCTGACTTGGAAACGAGGACAGCCAAGCGTGTTTGCCAAGGAAAGCCCGGATCTCCGGCGTGCAGTGCCGGCTGGGGCCCCTGGCATGGGTCAGGGCCGGGATCAGGCCCCTCCAGGTTCGGATTGTCCATGGGGTGGTGCTTAGACACTGTCTCAGGGCGGGGCCCAGCACGGGCAGTGGCTGGCAACTCTCCAGCCCTGAGGGGTTCCTCCTGCCTCTGTCCTTCCTGTAGAGGTGCAGTCCCCTGGTGGGCCGTGGGGGTGCAGGGGGTGCTGGGGCCACTGCCTACCCGTCCTGGTTGGGGGTAGACCTCGCTGGGCAGAACCCCTTCCTAGCACATGGCCCAGGGGTCTGCTTGCCAGTTGGATTTTCCCTTCCCTTCCCTCTGAAATTCCCTGGTTCTTCAATTTTGGTCCCTTTTTCTGGGCCTCTCTGACTTGTCTGTAACAGAAGTGCAGAGAGGTTTGGTGGCTGCCGTTGGCCGGGACACAGGCCTGCAGAACCCGCCTTGCTGGTGACTGCACAGGCCATCCATGTGGGTGTGGGGAGCCCCTGTCCCTACACCCCCGGCTGCTCCTCAGGCCCCCAGGTGTGTCCAGCCTGACACAGGCTGACGCTCACCCCCTCACCTGCGGTTTCAGTCACATGTGGTCAGCCGTGGTCCAAAAATGTTAAATGGAAAATTCTAAAAATAAGCAATTTCTGAGTTTTTAAAATTGTGTGGCATTCTCAGTAGCAGTTGAGGCCCCGCAGTCCACCTGTCAGTCACTAGCAGCCTCTCCAGGTGGCGAGAACACAGACGCATGGGGCCCGGGCTCCACGGCTTCCGGTGTCCCTGGGGCCTTGGAGTGTTTCTCGAAGGGTACACAGTTCCCAAACGGCTGGACATTTAAACAGGTCCGGGCAGCAGAGAGACCGAACCAGCCTGGGATTTTCCGAGTTGAGGCTGTTTGCCCAGGTGTCCTGGTGTGGGATGTGCTTTCTGGCATTTTCCATGGAAGCCACGTCAGCCGCCTTCTTCCCAACTGCTAGGGCCGGCTGCTGCACTTGTCTTGGAGGTGGTTTCCAGAACAAACTTCCAGCCAGCCGTGGGGCGCAGCGCAGGGGGACTGGGCCCAGACGGGGGTCCCTGGCTGCTCTGAGCATCACGTCCTCCGCCTGACAGAGCCCTGCCTCCAGGACCTTCCTCCCCTTTCCAGGCCACGCTGACCAAGTGCTTTGCAGGCGGGCGGCTCCTGGGTGTTGCGCACAAGAGTCTAAAATCTCCTTTCAGAATGCTTGGAGGGTGCTGTGCACCCCATGGCCGAAGCTCTGAGGGTGCCCCAGGACGCAGTGGGGAGGGTCGGGGCCGAGGGGCAGCCGCTGGTGCTGGCACAGAGGCATCCACATCGGCGCGCCCTCAGCACCGCGGGCCGGGGCGGGGCAGAGTCAGAGCTGCGTCTCCTGCGAGCTCCTCCATTTACCATTCGGCGTCTTCCTATTGCGCAGAGTTTGGAAAGCCTTGCTGTGTTCAGGTGTGGCAGTGTGGTCTCTCCACCCTGGCCTGCCGCTCTTCCAGAGCAGACGCTTTGCAAACCTGCAGTTTTTCTTGCTTGATTAGGACAATAGTTTTTAAACAGCATTAGAGTTAAGGAGATAAAACTGTGCGTGTGAGCATCGAGTGGAGCATGTGGGGGCTGTGGGGGGCTGCAGGGGGGCTGTGGGGGGGCTGTGGGGTGGGGGCTACGGGGGGCTGCTGTGGGGGGCTGTGGGGGGGCTGCTGTGGGGGGCTGTGGGGGGGCTGCTGTGGGGGGGCTGTGGGGGGGCTGCTGTGGGGGGCTGTGGGGGGGCTGCTGTGGGGGGCTGTGGGGGGGCTGCTGTGGGGGGCTGTGGGGGGGCTGCTGTGGGGGGCTGTGGGGGGGCTGCTGTGGGGGCTGTGGGGGGGCTGCTGTGGGGGCTGTGGGGGGGCTGCTGTGGGGGGCTGTGGGGGGGCTGGGGGGGCTGTGGGGGGGCTGTGGGGGGGCTGCTGTGGGGGCTGCATCTCAGGCGCTGACCCTGCATTTGGGCCAGTTTTAAACAGAGCCGTACTTAGGTCCCAGGCAGGGAGGGAAAGGAGGGAGACGCGCTGTGTGAACACAGGTCTGAGAAGCGCTGACCAGAGGCCTGAGTCATTCCCGGACACCCCGGGGAATCCAAATGTGCCTGGAAAGGGAGAGGCAGTCGCCCTCCCTCCCCGACCCAGCACCCACCCACAAGACACGCTATTTCTGTACCGTCCCTGTGTGATGGAGGCCTGGGAGTGGCTGCAGCCCCGCGTGTCCCCATGCAGGGAGGAGCTTCGTCCCCGGCTCAGGCCTCAGCAGCTGCCTGTGGCTTGGGAGCGTCTGCTGTGCTTCTGGCTCTGACCTTCACTGCTGTTCTGACCTTGAGAAAAGGAGGGGTGGTCTGGGGGGCTCGGGTGGCCGGGCCCCGACTGCTGTGGTCTGGGGGGCTCGGGTGGCCGGGCCCCGACTGCTGTGGTCTGGGGGGCTCGGGTGGCCGGGCCCCGACTGCTGTGGTCTGGGGGGCTCGGGTGGCCGGGCCCCGACTGCTGTGGTCTGGGGGGCTCGGGTGGCCGGGCCCCGACTGCTGTGGTCTGGGGGGCTCGGGTGGCCGGGCCCCGACTGCTGTGGTCTGGGGGGCTCGGGTGGCCGGGCCCCGACTGCTGTGGTCCGGCATCAGTGGGCGTTGCTGCCTTCTGGCCTGCGGGGCCACTCTGTGCAGCCTCTTTTTCTTGTGCTGCTGAAGCAAAGGTTAGAGTGTAGCCCAAAGCTCTGTTAAAATAAATTTCAGAGCTTTTATTTCTTCATTCTTTAAATCCCTTCTGAGGTCTTTCTCCCGCCCTTGTGCCTTCCACTGCCTCTCTCCTTGCTGTCTGGGACATCCCACGGGGTTCCTTCTTCCCTGGGTCTGGGCTGGTCTCTCCTCTGGACTCTCAGCCGGCCTCCATGCCCCTTGCCCTTCCTGCCTCCCCTCATCCCGGCCATGGGGTTTCCTACATCTTGTTGGGAGGGGGCCGGCCAGCCCCATTCCACACACACACACCCTTAACGTCCTGACCCCAGCCCACCAGGTCTCAGGGCTGCAGCCCTGCTGCACTTTCGCCTGTTCACGTCTCTGCCTCAGGGCTGGCCTGGGCGCCTGCAGCCCTGCTGAACTTTCACCTGTTCGTGTCTCTGTTCCCCCATGGCTCTGGTGCAGACCCCTGGATGTCGCTGGTGTGAGGCCTGGCTGGGCACGCAGACCCTGGGATCCTTAGCGCCTGCTGACCCGCACCTGGGTCCCTGTTGCCTTGTCCGCCTGTTCTCTGTCCTCTCAGCTCTGCCCCCAGGGTAGAGGGCATGGCCTCCCGTTTGATTTTTTTTCCTGCTGTCTTGGCTGGGCCTGGCTCGTCGCTGATGAGCTGTTGACCACAGGCTGCCCGCTGTAGCCCTGTGTGCTGTGTCTTTAGCCAGGTGCCGTGCTCCCCTGCAGCCCCCAGACTTGGGGTTTTGGCCCTGGGGTCCACTTGGGCCTCTCTGTGCTGGCAGCCGGCCTGGGCCTGGATGGGGGCTGTAGCCCCTCGGCGTGCTCAGCTGAGGGCTGAGAGCTGCCTTTGTCTGAGGTCTCCATCTGGGCCCGCTTTGTTCCCAGGGGTATCCACTCTCTCGCTGGTGGTCTCCCTGGACCCCCTGTGGTGGGGCCCCGGCCGTCTGCACTGCTGCACGGCGTGCACAGGGTCACGAATGAGACAAGACCCCATGGTGGGGCCTTGAGACCCAGGCAGGGCCTTCCTGAGGCATCCACTCCGCATAGGCTGCGTCCCCCGTCCTGTCGGCTGCCCACTCTCTCCCGCCTCTTGCCCTAGAAACCTGCACATCAGCTCCCGTCTCAGCGTCTGCATCCCGGGCAACTGTGTGGCCCTGCAGAGGGGAGCCATTCTGTAAGATGGACTGGGACGAGGAGAAGGACGGCAGCCTTTGTGGCCGGGCACTTCCGTTCTGTGATTGCTGCTTCATGTAACTGCTCTCTTCTGGGAGAAGGAACTCAGAGGGCGTTTAGATGCTTCAGGAAGACACTTCTGGTGGGGTTTTCAGGCTGCATCATGCCTTTCTTTGAGAAACGCCCTGAGGCATCTATTTGCTGCCTGCCTCTTCGCTGTGACGTTCTGTCTCATGTAGCAGCGATGGCGTCTTTTGGACCATTGCCCTGAATCGGGAATAGGATGGGTGTTTGGGTGTTTGCTCCTGGCGCCCTGTGGGGATGCACACAGCATAGCCGGGCAGGTTGCCGGCTGCTTGTAGACTTGCGGCTTTTCAGGACACACTGGCACCTGCCGTCTGACCTTATCTGCAGGGTATTTTATTGCTCAAGTTAACTGAAGCAGAGATGAGTGACAGTACTAAGACCACCCAGGCCTCTCGCCCCTGGACAGTTCCCAGTTAGCTCTAAAGATGCTCATTTGGTCAGCCCATATCTGCGGAGAACTGCTCGGTTCAGGAGGGGATGTGTGCACACAACTATAGCTGCTGTGCCTGGTGGAAGGGGAAGTGCCACAGCCTCAGTGACAACTGTGACGCCATGAACACTCAGGGACAGGTGTGGTGGCTTTGGGGGTGATCTGGGAGCCTCGTGGAGGAGCAGACTCAGAGTGGCCTGGTGCACGGGAAGGATTGAGACACAGAGGAGGGCACTGCAGGCGGAGAGAACGCATGTTCAAAGGCGCACATGTTGGCAAACACGGAGTGCGTTTGGCTGGGGTGTAGGGCGAGTACGTCCGAGGGAGCAGCGAGATCGGCCTGGACACAGACGGACGTTGCTTGTAGGGGCTCCAGAGCCTGGCTGAAGGGTCAGTGCTTCATTCGGTGGGTGCTGGAGAGCTGTTGAGTGCTTTGGGGGACGAGGAGGGAAGGGTGGTCATAACTGTGGTGGAGACCCGCACGCTAGTCAGTGTGGTGCTACAGTATTTAGAGAATGGAAAGGGAAGGCGTTTGGGAAATGGGTCATTTGGCTGGAAAGGAGCAGTTGTTCCCATAGGAGCAATCGGGTTATTCCAGGCTGGAACAGTTTGAATCACGGAGGAGGGTGAGTTGTACCCAGGACATGGATGGTCAGCCAGAGCTCATACTCTGTGCAAACTTCCCGGCCAGGGTCCCCAGTACTGAGCGCTATGAGAAGGTGGCTTCAGGCAGGAGGTCGGCTCACAGATGGGCAATGCACAGGGTTCCGAGCCGGGCGTGCAGAATCACCCAGTGTCGGACAACGGCTGAGATGCTGTTGAGGTGACTGTGAGAGAGGCGATTTGCTAGAGGAGGCATGGGTCGGTGAGCAGCTCTCAGACCCGATCCTGCGCCAGGGTCACCCTGCATTTTCGAGAACGTGGACTCCCAGGCAGCACGCCGGGGTGGGCCTGCGCACTCCCTTCCCAGCACACCGATGCCGCCAGGGCCACCTGGAGAGCACCCCTTTTCCGGCACACCGATGCCACCCAGGCCACCCAGAGAGCACCCCCTTCCCAGCACACCGATGCCGCCAGGGCCACCTGGAGAGCACCCCCTCCCGGCACACCAGTGCCACCCAGGGTGGCATCTTCCTGTAGGCAGATTTTCCCAGTCGTTGTGTGAAAAATTAACGTTGATTAGCTTGTAGTACCAAAGAGGATCGTGGTTTTATGTCATAATTGCTCTGCCCCCACACACTCTGCTGAGTCAAGTAAACACAATAGCTTAACTTTTACTGGATTAGAAAGTGAGACAAAACTCAGGATTGGACTTATTTGCTCAAATCACAGAATTGTGGAGTTGGAAAGAGACCCAGGGTCACCTGAGGCCCAGCCACTCAGCTTACAGATGGGGAAACTGAGGCCTGGAGAGGTTGGATGAGTCGCCCCAAGCCACCTGGTTTTGGAAACAGCCGGGCCCATCATCCTGTCCCTCAGAGTGCCTCTCCTGAGCCTTGCCTGCTGCTTGAGCTCTTTGATGACTTGTGAGTGTGAGTGGACGCATGTGAAGGTGTGTGCATGACATAAACAAGTCTCCATTAATCAGCCGCAGGAAGGAGTGAAGCCCTGAGACTACAGCATGGAAAAATCTAGAAAACATGAGGCTGCATCAAGGAAGCCAGGTGCAGGAGGCCACATGTGTGATTCCATTTCTGTGAGATGTTCAGGACAGGCAAATCTGTAGTGATAGAAGGTGGATTAATGGATGCCAGGGACTGTAGGGAGGGGAGATGGGAGTGGGAATGGGTATGGGGTTTCTTTTTCGGGTCATGAAAATTCTCTGGAGTTAGTGGTGATGGTTTTATAGCTCTGTGAATATACTAAAAACCACTGTGTTTACACTTAAAGGGTGAATTGTATGATATGTGAATTACATCTCAATAAAAAATAATTGCAGAAAATTACTGAAAAGCCCCAAATTATTCACCAATGGAGGATGATAGGTAGCCAAGTCATTATTTGAAAACCCAGTAAATAAAAGGGAATAATCAAGCATTTATCCTGACTTTCCTGTGTGAACTTCACTGATGGGTTACTAAATAGTAAATTCCGCTTATAAAATTATTTCATTTCATGAATTAAAATGAAAGGTAGAATAATAGCATCACCTTTAACCCCCTACTAGAGCAGCAGATGAAGTACATACTGCATGGTTCTGTTGAGCTGAGATGTAAGAATAGGGTGACTCTAGAACTCTGAAGAGTGCTAAGCTTTAGGTGGGGCGGGATATGAGAGGAGATTCTGGAGCGGGGGAGCCCGCGCCTCGGTCTCGGTACTGACTGTGTGGCTGTGCACATATCTAAACGTGTGAGCTCTATTTACTGAGTGTATATTATAGCCCAACAAAATGCATAAATAAAAATAATACAATTAAATATAAGCTCTAAAAGAAGTATTTATTTATACCCTTTCTTGCTCCAAAAAAGGATGTCAGGTAGAATGTGATGCATGTGTACTAAACACATTCACATTTGCCAATGTTGCCTCTATCAATACTTAGGTAAACATGTTTTTTTTAAGTTGCAAAATACACATAACATGAAATTCAGCATTTTAAGAATTTTAAAGTGTACGATTCAGTGGCATTTAGCACATTTACAATGCTGTGCAGCCATCATCCCTCTCTAGTTTCAACACTTTGTAATCACCCCAGAAGAACATCCTTTAAGTAATCACTTCCCATCTCCTGGCAGCCACAAATGACATATCACATTTTGTTTATCCGTTCATGTGTTGATGGACATTTGGGTTGTTTTCACCTTTTTGGACTATTGTGAATAGTGCTGCTATGAACATTCGTGTTTGTTTTGATTTGCACACCAGTTTTCAATTCTTTTAAGTATATACCTAGGAGTGAAATTGGTGGATCATATGGTAATGCTATGTTTAGTTTATTGAGTGGTGGAATTGAAGGTAACCTGCTCATATTTCCCACAACAACAAGAATTCTGTACCTATGCACAGTCAAAAGTCTCTCTGTGGGACTCTTGGGATTCAGACATTATCATACATCCACAAGCACCAAGAACATTCAGGCAAATGTGACCTTACGAAATGGATAAAATAAGGTGCGAGAGACGGGCCCTAACATGATGATGGAGATGTGTGATCTCTCAGACAAAGGATTCAAAATAGCTGTTTTCAGGAAGCTCAATGAACTTCAAGAAAACAGAGACTGAATTTACAAATTTATCAGAGAAAGTTAACAGATTGAAGTAATAGAAAAAATCAAATGGAAATCTTAGAGCAGAAAAATACAGTGAATGAAATGCAAAAATGAAAGAGAGAGCATTAGTAGCAGAACTGATCAAATAGAAGGAGGAATCAGTGAGCTCAAAGACAGAGTATTTGAAAATACACAGAGAAGAAAAAAGAAAAAAAATGAAAAGAAATGAAGAAAGCTTACAAGATCTATGGGACAACATCAAAAGAACAAATATTCAAGCTATCAGAGTTAAAAAGGGAATTGAGAAAAACAAGGCAGAAGAAGACCTATTCAAATAAGTAACAGCAAACTTTCCAACCTGGAGAAAGATAGAAATATTCAGGTACAGGAAGGTCAAAGGTCACCAATCAGATTCAACCCAAATAAGAATAAGACATACTATAATCAAAAAACTCTCAAAGATCAAAGAGATGATGTCAAAAGCAGCAAGAGAAAAGAAGCAAACAACATTTTGGGGAGATCCAATATACCTAGCAGCAACTTCTCAGCAGAAACCTTATAGGCCAGGAGGGAGTGGGATGATATATTCAGAGTGCTAAAGGAAAACAATTGTCAACTAAAAATAGTGTACCCAGCAAAGCTATCATTCAGAAATGAAGGAGAGATGGCAGCTTTCTCAGACAAACAAAAGCTGAGGAGACTCATCACTACCACACCTGTCCTACAAGAAGCCCTAAAGGGAGTTCTTCAAACCAAAGGAAAAGGATGCTAATGTGATTGTCATACTAATACTGTAATTATGGTGTGTAAACCACTTCTATCTTTTGTAAGAAGAATGAAAGACACAATTAATAAAATAATAACCACAACAATTAGTTAGGAGATAGGCAATATCAAAATATAAATTGTGACACCAAAAATTCAAAATATGGGAGGAGAAGAGAGTTAACATGTACATGGTTTTGTCTCTTTTTTTTACAATCAAAGGTAAGTTGGTATCAGTTTTAATAACTTGTTATAACTACTGAATGTTTTTCATAAGCCTTATGAGGGCTACAAAAGGAGGTCAATTCAGCAAGGTGATATAACAATAGTAAATATATATGCACCCAGTACCAGAGCACCCCGATATATATAAAGCAAATATTAATATATCTAAAGAGAGAGACAGACTGTAATACAATAATAGTAGGGGACTTCACACCCCACTTTCAGCAACGGGAAGGTCATCCAGGCAGAAAAATCAACAAGAAGCATTGGAGTTAAACTATACTCTAGGCCAAAAGAGCCTGACAAACATTAACAGAATATTTCATCCAACAGCTGCAGAATACACATTATTCTCATTGGCAAGTGGAACATTCTCCAGGATAGACTATAGGTTAGCTCACAAAACAATCTCAAAAAATTAAAAAACGTCAAAATTATATCAAGTCTCTTTTCTCAACACAATCAAAAAAACTAGAAACCATAGCAAGAGGAACTTTGGAAACTATGCAAACACATGGAAATTAAACAACATGCTCCCGAATGACCAGTGGGTCAGGGAAGAAATTAAGAGGGAAAATTTAAAATTTCTTGAAACAAATGAAAATGGAAACATAACATACCAAAACCTATGGGATACAGCAAAAGCAGTGCTAAGAGGGACATTTATAGCAATGAATGCCTATGTCATAGAAGTAGAAAGACTTCAAGTAAACAACCTAGTGATGCACCACAAGGAACTGGAAAATCAAGAAGCCAACCCCCAAATTAGTAGAAGGAAAGAAATAACAAAGATCCGAGCAGAAATGAATGAAATTGAGACAAAAGAGACAAAAGATCAACACAATGAAAAGCTGATTTTTTTGAAAAGATAAAATTGACAAAGCTCTAGCTAGACTAAGAAAAAAAAAAGATAAGACCCCAATAAATAAAATCAAGGATGGAAAAAGAAACATTATAACTGATAGCACAGAAATACAAAGGCTCACTAGAGACTATTATGAACAGCTATACACCAATACATTAGAAAACCTAGAGAAATTTTATAAATTCCTGGACACATACAACCTACCAAGGTGGGGCCATAAAGAAACAGAACCTGAACAGACGTAGAAATCAGAACAAAAAATCTCCCAGCAAAGAAAAAGCCCAGGCCCTGATGGATCATTCAAACATTTAAAGAACTAATACCAATTATATTCAAACTAATCCAAACAAATGGAGAGAAGGGGATACTTCCAAACTCAAGCAGTGAGGTTAGTGTTACCTGATACCCAAACCAGACAAGGACACAACACAAAAAGAAAACTAAAGGCCAATGTCTCTGATGAACACAGACACAAAAGTCCTCAGCAAGACACCAGCAAGCAGATGCCAGCAGCACATTAGAAAGACCATTCAGCATGACAGGTGGGACTCATCCAGGAATGCAGGGATGGTTTAATACCTGCTCATCAATAAATGTGATCGGTCACATGGATATAACCCAGAACAAAAACCATGATTATTTCAGTCAGTGCTGGAAAAGCATTTGATACAATTCAGCATCCCTCATGACAAAAACTCAACAGATTGGGTATAGAGGAACATACCTCAAAATGGTAGAGCCTGTTGATGACAAAACCATAGCTAACCTCATACCGAATGGGGAAAGCTCAGAAACCTTTCCACTGAAATCTGGGACACGACCTCACACCAAATGGGGAAATCTCGGAAGCCTTTCCACTGAAATGTGGGACATGACAGTGGAGGGGGACCCATGTGGCCCCAGACCCTTCATCTTTCACAGCAGGGAGCCAGCAGCTGATTTTAAGTTGATCTAAGAAATAGCAATGGGACTGTTATTTAAAGTTGAAATGCTAGCTCAAAAAACTAAGAAATTAGTAACTGTGGTTATTTCTAGAGAGTGCGTCTACAGATGGGCATGGGGCTTTAGGGCTACTCTTAATTTTTAATCTTGGACTCCTATAGTTGAAAGTTTTCTACCATGCATTTCTGGTATTACTGAACAATAACACCACCAAAAAACATACATATATATGTATGTAACAGATTTTATAGGGAAACCTTCAAAAATAGAATGTTCCCACCTCTCTCCACCTTCTACTTGAAACTTTGAACTGGAGTTGTAGATTAAGGCTCTGGAACCTCTTGTATTTTCTCCAGGAAAAGGGAACTGGCGTTCTTTTTGTTACGCATACCTGAGGGCCAGCCCTGTGAATTTAGAGGAAGCAAGGGTCTGCGTGTTCACTGCCTGAGCCTGCTGCAGAGACGCCCGTGCCCGTCAGGCATGTGTGCTTGTCACGTGGGCTCTCTGCTGTGAGGTGTTTTTCTCTTGTAGTTTCACAGCCCATGCTCCAGTGTGGGCAATGTGAACCCAGACTCACGCTGTGATGAGCTCAGGGGGCAAGCCTGCCTGGTCGGAAGCGGAATCTCCTGGGACAGGAGACCCAAAGTGATGTGTTGTGGACCTTTTGCTGCCACGCAGGGAGGAGCCTCGGTCCCTTCTCTTCAGAGACAGTTTCTTCATCTGTCTGGTCTTACACCAAAAATATTAACTGTCTCAAAACTGTTGCCACAATCATGTACCCCCATTTTGCCATCATAAAACAAAACAAAACAAAATTAAAGACAGATATTTCTCTGACTCAAAGCAAATATATAACCAAAAAGACAGTAACAAGTGCTGACGAGGGTGTAGAGACATGGTAACGCTTGCGCTTTGCAGGCAGGTGTGAAGGCACGGCCCTGGGCAGGCAGCCGGGTGGCTCCTAGGGTAATTAAACCTGTTGCCGTGCGGCCCCACCCGTTGGTAAATAATCAAGAGAATCCCAAAGCTGTCCGTGTTCACATGGGAACTTGTGCACACTTCACAGCGGCACCATTCACAACAACTGAAAGCTGGGAACAGCCCAAACATCCATCAGTGATTAACAAATACACAGAATGCGTTCCATCCGTGACATGAAATATCATCTGGCCAGGAAGATGGGCAGAGCTGTGACGGGCTAAGCACGGGCGAACCTTGAAGACAGGACGTTCAGTGAAAGCAGCCAGGCACAGAAGGGGAAGGACCGTGTGGTCCCATTCCATGAAATGTCCAGGACAAGCAGACCCACAGAGACACAGAGTGGACTCGTGGTTGCCGGGGGCTGGGGGAGGAGGGTGGGTTTCGTTCAGGGGGACGGAAATGCTCGCGTCAATCGTGATAACGGTTGCTCAACTCGGAATACACTAAAAACCACGGGATCGTGCCCTTTAAAAGCAGGGAGTTGTGTGGTGTCAATCAAGACACCCACACACGTGCCGTGAACACCTGTGTGCAGGCTGTGGGGCGGCCGTGCGCGGCTGATGTCTGTGCAGGGCTGATGTCCGTGCAGGGCTGGCCCAGGCCTGCCCTTTCCTCCTGCTTCCTGGGTCACCGGGCAACTCTTCTGCAGCTGGGAGCAGGGGCTAAAGGCGTTCCTTAGTTCTGCGGCTGGATCAGACAGCACCTTCTGCTTGGTCCTCTGCCTGGGCTTGCCGGGCACCTGTGCGGGGCTCAGGTGGCCGCCTCCTGCCCTCCATGCCAGGGAAGATCAGGTTGTATTCAAATCACCCTCTGTGAGGTTTCCACCAGGTCCTCACCTTCATTCTCTGCAGCTTTCCCCTTCCCCCTCCCCCCTCCTCCCCCCCTCCTCCCCGCTCGTCTCCCCTCGTCTCCCCTCGTCTCCCCTCCTCTCTCCTCCTCCGAACATCCCTGCCATCTTGGTCTCTTATTTTCTTCACCCTTTTCAGCTGCTCTGCCCCTCTAATGAGAACTATTAGAAATTGCTGTGCAAGTAGCAGAAAGTGCAGCAGGAAGGAGCGAAGGAGCAGAAGGCTTAGGGGACAGAGCCCTGCTGGGAGGCTTGAGGGGAGCTCCACCAGGGATTCGGGACTCGCCAGGCTCTGCTGCCCTGGGAGGAGGAGCTGGGGGCTGTCCCTGCACCGCTGTGCTGGTAATTATGAACTTCATATATGGTGGAGTTTTTAATCCCTATTTATTTCTTACGGATCGTCTCTACTTTGTTTCCATAATCTTATTTATTGTTATTAGTAACCAGGGAACATTTTACCATGTGAAAATTAATTTGGGAATTTTAGGGCCAGGCACAGTGGCTCACGCCTGTAATCCCAGCACTTTGGGAGGCCAAGGCGGTTGGATCACCTGAGGTCGGGAGTTCAAGACCAGCCTGACCAACATGGAGAAACCTTGTCTCTAATAGAAATACAAAATTAGCTGGGCATGGTGGCGCACGCTTGTAATCCCAACTTCTCAGGAGGCTGAGGCAGGAGACTGTTTGAACCTGGGAGGCGGAGGTTGCCGTGAGCCAAGATTGCACCATCGCACTCCAGCCTGGGCAATAAAAGTGAAACTCCGTCTCAAAAAAAAAAAAAATTAATTTGGGAATTTAAATGTGCAAATCTGTTCAAATCCATCAAGTATGGCCTTCAGATAAGGAAGTCGAAGTGTGATTCTTCAGGCATTCCTTTCCCTAGGGGGCAAGAGGCTTACACTTGAAGGAGCCCAAGAGAATTGCTGTAGAAGGGATCAGAGCAAATGGCTGGGAGCTCCAGGGCGGGGAAGACTGAGAACCTTCCTTATGTGGCCCTGAGAGTGAGCAGAACTGTGGCTCAAGGGTGTGCAGCTGAGGTGTTAGAAAATAAGTCACACAGCAGAATTTTTTAAGTCTAAAGGCACGTTAATCATTGACATTTCCAAAATATTATTCCTTAATTGTGTAGGCCTTCACATGTCTATTTTAGATTTGTTGTGTGTGTATCTGTGACTGATGTGTCTCTCTTTCCTTTTATTTTTTTTTGAGACAGGGCCTCACTCTGTCATCCAGGCTGGAGTGCAGTGGTGTGATCATGGCTCACTGCAACCTCCACCTCCTGGGATCAAGTGATCCTCCCACCTCAGCCTCACAAATAGCTGGGACTACAGGCGTGCGCCACCACGCCCAGCTAATTTTTTGTATTTTTAGTAGAGATGAGGTTTCGCTATGTTGGCCAGGCTGGTCTCCAACTCCTGGGCTCGAGCCATCCGTCAGCCTCAGCCTCTCAAAATTCTGGTATTAAAGGCAAGAGCCACCGCGCCCGGCTCATTATCCGATTTAAGGTTTTTGGAAGGAAATGCTGCTCCCAGAATCAGGCTGTGTGTGTTGCTGCCTCCGGCCCTCCAAGGCCCTCTGATAAGTTGTCTGAAGTTATCTGTCACTGAAATGGGTTGTGGTGGTGTCGGGCGGGCGCCCTGCTGGCCCCGGGAGCCGTCAGCCCCATGTCAGCCTGGAAGGAGCTCCACTGAGACTTGGGGCTCTGAGGCAGGCTCGTTCCTGCTGGCACTGCCCGGGGCCCTCCCTCCAGAGGCGCAGGCCGGGGCTGCAGAGCGGGTGCAGGTGACTTTGCCTTCCCAGGTGCCCCCGCAATCCCGCCGGCTCTGGAAACTTGCTCATTTCAAAAGCTCGTGTAGCGCGCCCATCTCCAGGAGGTCTCTGCGTGGACTCCTGCTGCCAATCTTCAGGAGTTTTATGCCCAGATAAACACAGCCCCCATTCAGAATCCCATCACATACGCTGAGGACGAAGGGAATAAATACTCCAGACTCACCACTTCCCCGTGATTTCCCCACAAGGACGAAGGGAATCGATACTCCAAACTCACCACTTCCTGTGATTTCCCCGCGAGGACGAAGGGAATAAATACTCCAGACTCAGCACTTCCCCGTGATTTCCCCGCGAGGACGAAGGGAGTCGATACTCCAGACTCAGCACTTCCCCGGGATTTCCCCGCGAGGACGAAGGGAGTCGATACTCCAGACTCAGCACTTCCCCGGGATTTCCCCGCGAGGAGGAAGGGAGTCGATACTCCAGACTCAGCACTTCCCCGGGATTTCCCCGCGAGGACGAAGGGAGTCGATACTCCAGACTCAGCACTTCCCCGGGATTTCCCCGCGAGGACGAAGGGAGTCGATACTCCAGACTCAGCACTTCCCCGTGATTTCCCCGCGAGGAGGAAGGGAGTCGATACTCCAGACTCAGCACTTCCCCGGGATTTCCCCGCGAGGACGAAGGGAGTCGATACTCCAGACTCAGCACTTCCCCGGGATTTCCCCGCGAGGACGAAGGGAGTCGATACTCCAGACTCAGCACTTCCCCGTGATTTCCCCGCGAGGAGGAAGGGAGTCGATACTCCAGACTCAGCACTTCCCCGGGATTTCCCCGCGAGGACGAAGGGAGTCGATACTCCAGACTCAGCACTTCCCCGGGATTTCCCCGCGAGGACGAAGGGAGTCGATACTCCAGACTCAGCACTTCCCCGGGATTTCCCCGCGAGGAGGAAGGGAGTCGATACTCCAGACTCAGCACTTCCCCGGGATTTCCCCGCGAGGAGGAAGGGAGTCGATACTCCAGACTCAGCACTTCCCCGGGATTTCCCCGCGAGGAGGAAGGGAGTCGATACTCCAGACTCAGCACTTCCCCGGGATTTCCCCGCGAGGAGGAAGGGAGTCGATACTCCAGACTCAGCACTTCCCCGGGATTTCCCCGCGAGGACGAAGGGAGTCGATACTCCAGACTCAGCACTTCCCCGGGATTTCCCCGCGAGGAGGAAGGGAGTCGATACTCCAGACTCAGCACTTCCCCGGGATTTCCCCGCGAGGACGAAGGGAGTCGATACTCCAGACTCAGCACTTCCCCGGGATTTCCCCGCGAGGACGAAGGGAGTCGATACTCCAGACTCAGCACTTCCCCGGGATTTCCCCGCGAGGACGAAGGGAGTCGATACTCCAGACTCAGCACTTCCCCGGGATTTCCCCGCGAGGACGAAGGGAGTCGATACTCCAGACTCAGCACTTCCCCGGGATTTCCCCGCGAGGACGAAGGGAGTCGATACTCCAGACTCAGCACTTCCCCGGGATTTCCCCGCGAGGACGAAGGGAGTCGATACTCCAGACTCAGCACTTCCCCGGGATTTCCCCGCGAGGACGAAGGGAGTCGATACTCCAGACTCAGCACTTCCCCGGGATTTCCCCGCGAGGACGAAGGGAGTCGATACTCCAGACTCAGCACTTCCCCGGGATTTCCCCGCGAGGACGAAGGGAGTCGATACTCCAGACTCAGCACTTCCCCGGGATTTCCCCGCGAGGACGAAGGGAGTCGATACTCCAGACTCAGCACTTCCCCGGGATTTCCCCGCGAGGACGAAGGGAGTCGATACTCCAGACTCAGCACTTCCCCGGGATTTCCCCGCGAGGACGAAGGGAGTCGATACTCCAGACTCAGCACTTCCCCGGGATTTCCCCGCGAGGACGAAGGGAGTCGATACTCCAGACTCAGCACTTCCCCGGGATTTCCCCGCGAGGACGAAGGGAGTCGATACTCCAGACTCAGCACTTCCCCGGGATTTCCCCGCGAGGACGAAGGGAGTCGATACTCCAGACTCAGCACTTCCCCGGGATTTCCCCGCGAGGACGAAGGGAGTCGATACTCCAGACTCAGCACTTCCCCGGGATTTCCCCGCGAGGAGGAAGGGAGTCGATACTCCAGACTCAGCACTTCCCCGGGATTTCCCCGCGAGGAGGAAGGGAGTCGATACTCCAGACTCAGCACTTCCCCGGGATTTCCCCGCGAGGACGAAGGGAGTCGATACTCCAGACTCAGCACTTCCCCGGGATTTCCCCGCGAGGACGAAGGGAGTCGATACTCCAGACTCAGCACTTCCCCGGGATTTCCCCGCGAGGACGAAGGGAGTCGATACTCCAGACTCAGCACTTCCCCGGGATTTCCCCGCGAGGACGAAGGGAGTCGATACTCCAGACTCAGCACTTCCCCGGGATTTCCCCGCGAGGACGAAGGGAGTCGATACTCCAGACTCAGCACTTCCCCGGGATTTCCCCGCGAGGACGAAGGGAGTCGATACTCCAGACTCAGCACTTCCCCGGGATTTCCCCGCGAGGACGAAGGGAGTCGATACTCCAGACTCAGCACTTCCCCGGGATTTCCCCGCGAGGACGAAGGGAGTCGATACTCCAGACTCAGCACTTCCCCGGGATTTCCCCGCGAGGAGGAAGGGAGTCGATACTCCAGACTCAGCACTTCCCCGGGATTTCCCCGCGAGGAGGAAGGGAGTCGATACTCCAGACTCAGCACTTCCCCGGGATTTCCCCGCGAGGACGAAGGGAGTCGATACTCCAGACTCAGCACTTCCCCGGGATTTCCCCGCGAGGACGAAGGGAGTCGATACTCCAGACTCAGCACTTCCCCGGGATTTCCCCGCGAGGACGAAGGGAGTCGATACTCCAGACTCAGCACTTCCCCGGGATTTCCCCGCGAGGACGAAGGGAGTCGATACTCCAGACTCAGCACTTCCCCGGGATTTCCCCGCGAGGAGGAAGGGAGTCGATACTCCAGACTCAGCACTTCCCCGGGATTTCCCCGCGAGGAGGAAGGGAGTCGATACTCCAGACTCAGCACTTCCCCGTGATTTCCCCGCGAGGAGGAAGGGAGTCGATACTCCAGACTCAGCACTTCCCCGGGATTTCCCCGCGAGGAGGAAGGGAGTCGATACTCCAGACTCAGCACTTCCCCGGGATTTCCCCGCGAGGAGGAAGGGAGTCGATACTCCAGACTCAGCACTTCCCCGGGATTTCCCCGCGAGGAGGAAGGGAGTCGATACTCCAGACTCAGCACTTCCCCGGGATTTCCCCGCGAGGAGGAAGGGAGTCGATACTCCAGACTCACCACTTCCCCGGGATTTCCCCGCGAGGAGGAAGGGAGTCGATACTCCAGACTCAGCACTTCCCCGGGATTTCCCCGCGAGGAGGAAGGGAGTCGATACTCCAGACTCAGCACTTCCCCGTGATTTCCCCGCGAGGAGGAAGGGAGTCGATACTCCAGACTCAGCACTTCCCCGGGATTTCCCCGCGAGGACGAAGGGAGTCGATACTCCAGACTCAGCACTTCCCCGGGATTTCCCCGCGAGGACGAAGGGAGTCGATACTCCAGACTCAGCACTTCCCCGGGATTTCCCCGCGAGGAGGAAGGGAGTCGATACTCCAGACTCAGCACTTCCCCGGGATTTCCCCGCGAGGACGAAGGGAGTCGATACTCCAGACTCAGCACTTCCCCGTGATTTCCCCGCGAGGAGGAAGGGAGTCGATACTCCAGACTCACCACTTCCCCGTGATTTCCCCGCGAGGACGAAGGGAGTCGATACTCCAGACTCACCACTTCCCCGTGATTTCCCCGCGAGGACGAAGGGAGTCGATACTCCAGACTCACCACTTCCCCGTGATTTCCCCGCGAGGAGGAAGGGAGTCGATACTCCAGACTCACCACTTCCCCGTGATTTCCCCGCGAGGACGAAGGGAGTCGATACTCCAGACTCACCACTTCCCCGTGATTTCCCCGCGAGGACGAAGGGAGTCGATACTCCAGACTCAGCACTTCCTGTGATTTCACGGCACGCCATTGCTGCTGGGCTCCAGGCTGTCTGGCTGGGTGCTTCTGGAGGTGTGGGTGCCTCTGAACGGGGCCCTGCTCTCCTCTCTCTGGCTTTGGGGCCACACTGGTCGCTTGAAATCGGCCAGGAATGTTCACACCACAGAAATCAGGATGGGCCACACATCGGAGGAAATTGAGCTCACGTTTGAACAAAGGTTTTGTTGATCATCTAATCTTGCTACCCTGAATTAAATAATCTTGTATATAGCGGTTACACTGCAATAGCACAAAAAAATTAAGACAATGTTTTTCTGGCATTTAAAACTTCACCTGATTCAACAAAGTTGCTTGTGACATTGATGAATGAGTGAAGCGCCAGCATTCCCAGTGTGAAAGCCAGAAGAGATGTCAGCTTAATATAATTTGTATGAGTGGGAGAAATGTTTTAATGGTCGACACATATCACACTCAGTGATGACGCACTTTTTGAGAACCAGCTAGCAGAGGGTGCGTTGCCTCTGTTTGTCAAATCCTGGTTAAATGCAGCCCAGGATTGGCTTAGAGACAAGAGTTTGCTGTGAGAATCAATTAGCTCTGTGAGTTTGAAGTAGAGGACTGTGTATCTCATTATTTTTTGTGAGTTGTGTGCTACACATCTTTTACACTAGTGCAATGTATGACTTAACCTAGTTGAGCTCGTGCATGCATTTTTCCCCTAGAGAACCAGGTTGTTAAACCTCTGTTGGGACCACCCACCTGGGGGTGCAGCCCCAGGCCTGTCCCTTCCCCTCTTGCGTACAGGCTGGGTGTGAACTAAACGTTGCTTGGGTTAAGGAAAGTTGTTTTCCCTGCCCCCCATTCCTTCTCTGGGGCTGCCCCCAGACGGGACGCAGCTGGGAGACGTTCTTCATGGTTTTATCTCAGTGCGGCGCATCAAGGGAGAAAGACCCAGTTCCCTTTGTTCCTCACTCTCCATTCAAGCGCGTGTGTCCACCCGGGGAGCAGCCTCGGAGCCTCGGAGCACAGGGAGGTTTGCCCACTGTCCGTGATCAGGAAGAAAGCATCTCTCTCCGAGGCAGATGTCAGCATTGTTGCCACTGCCCGTTATAAGAGACTAGGGTTCCCCAGGCTCAGGCCCTGCTCCCAAGGTGCAGCCGATATGTGTGCAGGCATCACTGGGTTCCCAATCCCAATTTGGTACTGCGTGAGGCAAACCAGGGCACCTGCAGACGCTGCAGCTCTGGCTCTGCTGTTGCGGTGATGTCCTTTGTCTCAGACGTGGACGTCTCTGGCCTCCTGCCTGCCCCTGTGAGACCCGCAGCTCCCCGGTGAGTGGGGCGAGGAGGTAGGGGCATCTTCACACCTTCTCAGTTCTCAGCAGTAAGTAATGCCTCTCAGTCCTGGCTGCACCCAGAACCACCTGCAGGCTTTCTAATCAAGACGAATGTCTGTTCTTACTGCCTGGAGCCCGTCCTAGTCAAAGAATGGCAATCTCTGGGTGGGGTCCAGGCATTTGTCCTGTGAGAAGCTCTCCTGTGTGTGCAGCTGCAGCCGGTGAGTGCAGGTGTGAGGTCCTGTGTGTGGACTCAGGAGAGGAGTCACAGCCCCAGGAGATGCAGCCTGGATGCGGGGCAGGCTCTGCTGCGCTAGGAACACGGGGGCCCTGGGGGTTCCTGTGCAGCACCGGTGTGTCTCTGCTCCTTTGTGAACTCAGAAGGGCGGCTTCATTTCAGCCCACCTTTGCCTTCTCTTTCCTCGTTATTCCCTGGGTGTTTTCAGCCGCCAGTGAAACTTCGGTTTTGAACCCATAGGATTTGCCTCAGTCTCCTGGTGGACACGTCTCTGTGGAGGAGAGGTCCCCTGTCTGCAATCGCCTTCTTTCCCATATTTTATTACCTGTTTATAAGAGTGAGCACAGTTAGAACCAGCTGACAGGGTTTGGAGTCGTGTTTCTCAGGATATTCCAGAGGCATTCCTGCTCCATTCATCTCAGGACTTGAAGTATTTTCCCCAGCGGCTCATTGTAGACCAGCTGGATTCACAGGCAGTCAGAACCACGAGAGTGCATGTGCTGGTGGCCGTGGTCTGCGGACAGCATTTCCAGAGTGCTGGGTGATGCGGCCCCCGCGCCTTGAGAGTTATACTGCATCGGGAGACTGGGCAGCCCTGGGGAGGCCCGGCCTGGACAACCTTCTGGCTGACCTGGCTCCAAGGCCAGGTCTCCTCCTAGACGTTTAGGGATCACTTGGGTCTCGGGACGCGTGAGTCTCTGGAGTGACGTGGCAGCATCTCCTGTGTGGCCCGTTGCTAACAGCCTTTGCACCAAGCACGAGAGGAGGGTCATTTGCACCAGGAGCGTGTAACTGGGGTACTGTTGCGTTTTGGGTGGACGGCCCTCTGCCACGCAGCACTATTGGTGTTCTAGGTGGACGGCCCTCTGCCGTGGGACACTCTTGGTGTTCTAGGTGGACGGCCCTCTGCCGTGGGGCACTCTTGGTGTTCTAGGTGGACGGCCCTCTGCCGAGGGGCACTCTTGGTGTTCTAGGTGGACGGCCCTCTGCCGAGGGGCACTATTGGTGTTCTAGGTGGACGGCCCTCTGCCGAGGGGCACTATTGGTGTTTTGGGTGGACGGCCCTCTGCCACACGGCACTATTGGTGTTCTAGGTGGACGGCCCTGTGCCCTGGGGCACCGTGTGCAGCAGGACACTGAACAGAAGACACCCTGCACTCTGCCCACCAGATGCCATTTGCACAGCCCATAGTGAAATCCAAGCGTGCCCTGGGAGGTGGCCCCTGGGGGAGACCCCTGTTTCAGTGGCCCCTGGGGGAGACCCCTGTTTCAGCCGTTGTCGGGGTCAGGCCTCCAGTAAGCACAGTGGGCGCCTTCTAGGACCCCTCCTGCCACCCCGTCACCATAGACTCATTCTCCCTGTGGTGGAAGTTTCAATTACATTGAATATGCCCGTTATTTGGGAGGGTTTAACATCTGGGCCTGGTCACCCGCCCCTCAGCAGAACCTCCCGTGCCCTCTGAAGAGCCGTGGAGACTGGAGGGAGCTGGAGGTGCTCTCAAGGAGACTGGACGACAGGCAGACCCCCTGGACGGCAGTGCTGGGCCCTCCCTGGGCAGGTGGTGTCACCCAGTGAGTTTTGGAATCAGCCCGCACAGCCCTCTCCTCCTTCCACCGCCCACAGAAGCCCGCTGGTGCCAGGGGCTCCCAGCAGCCCCTCCCGGCCAGGAGGATTGGGGGGTGCCTTGCTTGAGGATGGCAGCCTGGGCTTCTGTCATTCATAACCCACAGGAGTCCTCTTGAGGGAGGAGCATGGTGCCCTGGAGAGCCCTGGACAAGACCTGGGCCTGGCTCCATCCAAGCCCAGCGGCCTCTGCCCCTCCTGAGCGTGAGGATAGAGCAGGTGCCGTCTGCCCTCGACTCGGCCCAGAGGAAACCCCACTCCCACGGCCTCGCCGAGTTCTGCCTATTTCTGGCAGCTTCGCAGGCCCTTCGGGAAGGCACTTGTGTTGCCAGGGGTCGTGGGGGTCAGGGTCATGCTGTGTCCTCAAGACGCTGTGTCCCCTGCCTCGGGGCCCCCCCGCCTCTTCCTCTTATGGCCTCTGCACCGCAGTCAGCCCACCGAGATGTGCAGCCTCGTCCCACGGAGGGTGCCGGGTGGGGAGGCCAGTGCGGACGGGCACTCAGGCCCACTCAGAGGCCAGTCACGGAGCCCCCGTGTCCAGAGGCGAACAGGAGCCAGGGGGCACATGGGCCTTGCAGTCAGCAGCTCAGAGCCCGGAGAGGGGTCTCTACCCACGCATGGCACAGAGGCTTCTGTGCCTCACTGAGACCCTGCCAGGGCCTGGAGGAGGACCTGTTCGAGTGAGGATCCCAGGGGCCAGGGCTGGGATCGCTGTTCCAGGCTTCTAAATAGCCCAAAGTAGACGGGGCTCTTCATCCTTTATTCAGATATTTTAGTCACAAGACTATTGTTCCGGTAAATACTTTATGTTGTTAGAAGACGCTGTGTGCCTAGCAAAATTTTTAGGCCCCTTTGAATGTTTTGCGTTGGGACGACTAAAAGGCTGAGGTTGGGAGCCTTGAGAGCCGCACTTCCTCCAATTCTCCCGCAGGGTCTCCTTCCCCAACAGGCCCTGGGCTTTATTGCTGGGACGGGGTTGCTTTCGCTGGACCATGCACCGGGGCTGTCGCCATCACCTGTTCCACGTTATTTCAGTGAGGCCGACCTGTAGTTGAGTAAAACGCCGTGATGACGTGGGAAAGAGAAGAGCGCCCAGCCTGGGTGGACGCGGCCAGTACCAGCACAGCCCTGGCCTCTCCAGGACGTCTTCTGTCTGGGTTGGTGCCAGGAGCTTTGCTCAGTGGAGCCCTGGGCCCTCGTCCTCACCCGTGGCTGCCTTCATTCCTTCCTCCGCCCTCTTCACTGGGCGCTGAGCTGAGCTGCTGAGCGCCTGGGAGACGCCCGCTGCTGTGTTGAGCAGTACATGAGGCCAGCCCCGCCTGAGGGCCCTCCCCAGGATGCCTGCAGGGAGGAGCAGTGCTGGGTGGGGTCTGTGGAGACCTCCCCATGCCCTCACAGCTCCTCCTGGGTACAGGGGTGTGGCTCCGGGTGCTGCGGGCAGCCCCGACAGCTCGCTGTCAGCACTTGGAGACCCTGTGTGGGCCTCCAGGGAAGCCTGGGCATCCTAACCCTCGGTCAGGGCTGGGCCTGTGCTCACCCTGAGGGTGCAGCTTCCCTCCATGGCCCAGAAGGGCTGCCGTGGGCGTGGGAGTCATGACGCTTTGGATCAGGGCCTTTGTTTTTGTTACTCACTGCCTGATCCCTGGAGTTGGAAATCAGGTTTTGCGGTGTTATGCTGTTTACATTAAATGTGTTTAAGTGCTGCCTTTTACTCCTGTTAGTTGAGTTTTCAGAGCCGATGCGAGGTGCTGTGTTGGCTGTCTTCATCAGTCTGCCGGCTGGTGAACACACCGCATATGTTTTAGAGGCATGGTCTGTGGGAAAAGTGGTCATGAGAACTGTTACTTATTTGGCTGTTAGGATGAAACCAGTTTACTTTTCTTTTAATTCATTTATTCATCCATGCATGCAACAGATAATTAGGTACTTACTGTATACCACAGACAGCTTTGTCTTTTTATATGAACGTCTCTGTGCACCAGAAAAAAAAGAGAAAACGTGTTTCCTCTAAGAGAGACAGAACAGGCACCTTTGGTGAAGGTAACTGAATGAACTGTTTGGGGTGCGGTGGAGAAGAAACAGTTGCTTGGGAGCTGGGGCAGCCCCCGTCCCGCTCAGCTGTGGGGCTGCAGGGAGAGGCTCGGTCCTGGTGCATGTGGCACACACGGCGAGGCCCCGGGGCGACGTGGCCAGGCCGTGCTGCAGCAGCCCCAGCCCTCCTGGTCTGAGCAGCTCATTGGATGTTGGTGCGTCCAGCAGGCTCCCTGGTGTTGCTGTCGTCATAGCAACCAGGATGTTTCTCAGGAGTTTTTTTTTTTTTTTTCTGTTTCAATGCTTTATTAACAGTTGGAAACAAAACCAGTGCCTTGGAGGTGATGGCATCAGAAGCCTGAGGCAGGGAAATGGGCTTGCATTTTGTCCCCCCACTTTTTTTTTTATTAAATGCATCATAGCAAAAGTAGATTAAAAAGAAAGAGTCTCAGCCCCAGATGACAGTGAGCAAGGAGAAGGAGGTAAAGACGGGGCCATCGGGCGGGGAGGGAGGAACCTGGTGTGTTTTGGGGCCAGGGGACTGGGCATCATCGGGCAGGGAGGGAGGAACCCGGTGCCTTGGTGCCAGTGCGGGGGAACTGGGCATCGTTGGGCAGGGAGGGAGGGAGGGATGAATCCGGTGCGTTGGTGCCAGTGTGGGGGGACTGGGCATTGTCGGGCAGGGAGGAAGGATGAATCCGGTGCATTGGTGCCAGTGCGGTGGGACTGGGCATCGTCGGGCAGGGAGGGAGGGATGAATCCGGTGCGTTGGTGCCAGTGTGGGGGGACTGGGCATCATTGAGTGGGGAGGGAGGAAGGGATGAATCCGGTGTGTTGGTGCCAGTGTGGGGGGACTGGGCATCGTCAGGCAGGGACGGAGGGATGAATTGGGTGCGTTGGTGCCAGTGCGGTAGGACTGGGCATCGTCAGGCAGGGATGGAGGAACCTGGTGCGTTGGTGCCAGTGCGGTGGGACTGGGCATCATCAGGCAGGGAGGGATGAATCTGGTGTGTTGGCGCCAGCGCAGGGGGATCCGGCCTTTTCATGTCGTACGGCGTCTGTCTTACAGGGACTCCACAGAAAGCTTGTGTGTTTCCGTCCTGCAGTGTCCGCCTTCGGAAGACCCAGCTGTTACTGCTGTGATTTGAGGCCCTGTGGGAACAAATCTCAGTTCCGTATTATCCACAAACACCATCTCCCACAGGACTTTCAAAAGCTTTTTTCTCTCTCCTTTTAAGAAACACAGGAACTTACAGCTAAATATCTACACTCATTTGTTGCAAAAAACAAAGAAATCCCAGAAAACAAAACAAAAACAAAAAACTCCCAAAGACAAAAACAAAAAACCCAGTAAAATCCCAAGGGAAATATGGTCAGCGTCAGGTCACACTGTAAAGGTGTCAGAAGGAAAGTCAGCAAAGTCAAGCTGTGTTTGAGGGTAAGGACTTCTATCTGCTGCAGAAGCCGTCAGTTCCAAAACAGGGCCGGGAGGCTGGAGGGGCCCCTGTCCGACTTGCTGGGTGTGCTGCGGCTGCCCTCAAATTCAGGGGCAGCCGCGGCCACCAGGAAGGCTGCGTCTGCTCCGGGAACCTCAACTGCCATCCCCCAGGCTCCCTTCCCTCTCTGGAGAAGCTCGCCGGCCATGTTCTCCCCTTCGTGCCTGTGAACTCATCACACACCCTGCCTGCGTGTGCCGCGTGTGTGTGCGTGTGCTGCCTGCGTGTGCTGCGTGTGTGTGCGGTGCTGCCTGCGTGCGTGTGCTGCGTGTGTGCGCTGCGTGTGTGCGTGTGCTGCGTGTGGGATCTTCACATCGGTGGGAGCCTTCGGAAAGCCTGTCTTCTGACATGGGATGACCGACCTGAGGCCTGGCCTGGAGCCAGGTGCCTCGTAGCAGCCTAGCTGTGTTCTCCCATGCAGCGGGTGAAGAAGGCGCATCCCGGGAGAGTCGCCGTGTTGAGGTGTTCTGAGGGTCCAGTGCCTATCAGGAAATACTCATTTTTTCCCACCAACCGATTATCATTGATGCTTCCTTAATGATTCCCAAAATAAAAATTTCCAGAACCTTTTGAATTAGAGGCGTCTCAGAGCCGGAGGAGCCTTCGAGAGCTGCTGTGTCTCTTGCTTTTGCAGTTCAGGACTTTGAGGCCCAGAGAGGTAGACTGTGTGTTGGGGGCACTGGCGGGAAACGGCCGCAAGCAGTGAGACCCTGAGAGCTGCTCCGTGTGGGCAGCAGCGGGTGCTGCTGGGAACGCCTGCCGGCGCCTCCACACGCAGAGATACGCGGCGCCGACACGGGAGGCTTCGTCCTGCCGGCGCCTCCACACCCAGAGATACGCGGCGCCGACACGGGAGGCTTCGTCCTGCCGGCGCCTCCACACGCAGAGATACGCGGCGCGGACACGGGAGGCTTCGTCCTGCCGGCGCCTCCACACGTAGAGATACGCGGCGCCGACACGGGAGGCTTCGTCCTGCCGGCGCCTCCACACGCAGAGATACGCGGCGCGGACACGGGAGGCTTCGTCCTGCCGGCGCCTCCACACCCAGAGATACGCGGCGCCGACACGGGCGGCTTCGTCCTGCCGGCGCCTCCACACGCAGAGATACGCGGTGCGGACACGGGAGGCTTCGTCCTGCCGGCGCCTCCACACGCAGAGATACGCGGTGCGGACACGGGAGGCTTCGTCCTGCCGGCGCCTCCACACGCAGAGATACGCGGCGCGGACACGGGAGGCTTCGTCCTGCCGGCGCCTCCACACCCAGAGATACGCGGCGCCGACACGGGAGGCTTCGTCCTGCCGGTGCCTCCACACGCAGAGATACGCGGCGCGGACACGGGAGGCGTTGTCCAGACCCTGGGGCTTCTGCTCCTTCTCACAGTGCCTCAGGTTAATATTGTGGATGAAAAGTCTTTAAAAAGCTTCAAACTGAGTTTATCTCTGCCCTTTGGAGTTGCTGGCATGCCAGTTTGCAAACTGGCATCTTTGAAATGAGCCGACTGCCCCATGTGAGCCATGACGTGTGCGCTTGCTGAGTTGACGCGAAACATTCAGCGCGGAGTGGCGGAAGTGGGGTTCTGAGAAACTTCTACTCTGCTCCCGTTTTTGATTTTGTTTGTTTCAACAAGAATAAGGTGATGTGGCCCTGAGTGGCGCCAGCAGGAGCCTTGGTGTGGTCTCAGCGTGGTGCCTGTGCCTGCATCTGTCCTCTCATCCTGCGTCGTGGAGACGCCACTGCCAGGCGTCTTTAGAGCCAAATGACGGAGGCAGAAAAGGCCCTGGGGAGGCGCGAGTGTGTTTGAGGCGTTTTTTTTACAGAATGGACTTAAACTGGGCATCCGCTGTCTGGATTGACAGCTGTCACTCATCCCTTCCTGCTCACTCCCTATTCTCCAGTAAACTGGGCCGTTAGGCTTGCCGCTGGGGCATGCTCCGAGCTTCCAGCAGAGAAGTCGCAGCTGGGGTTCAGTTATGACCTCCAGACTGACCCCTGGCAAACAAGGAGTCCGGGATCACGGGCGTTTTCTGCAGGGCCAGCCAGGAACTGGCCCCACTTCCTTCAAGCACGTCCAGGTGGCGTCTCTGTGGGCTTGAAGGAGGGAGAGGTGGACCTAGCTTAGGTCCCTCTGGGACGCTTCTCTTTACTGGCAATTCGAACAGCTGGAGTTTACAGTTAACTCACGTCCACAAGAAAGAGCTCTTTCCTTTAATTCTGGCTCCAACTTTGACCTAATATAAAATAAAATTCAAAATAAAAAGGGACTCAGTGGATAAATGAATAAGCAAGACGAGGTCCCTTTGCATCATGGAAGTTATTCAACCTTAAAATAGAAGGGAATCCAGTCAGCGGCCACAGCAGGGGCCACCCTGGAGGACATTTGCTGAGTAGAGTGAGCCGGGCTGAAAGGACACGTCCTGTGGATCCCGCCGACGTGAGGCCCCAGAGTAGTCAGATCCACAGAGACAGAAAGTGGGGTGAGGGCCACTGGGAGACAGCAGGAGGGGGATGGGAGTGAGTGTTGAATGGGGACCGAGTCTCCGTTTGGGAAGACGAGAGTGTTCCAGAGAGGACGGTGGTGATGGTTGCACAACTCGGTGAACGTGGTTAATGCCACAGAACTGTGCACGCGAGCAGGTCAGAGATGGAAAATTGTATGTTAAAAATTAAAATAAAGGGACTAATGCAGGTAAACAAGACACAGCAATCCTGAGTCCCAGGCTGGCAGGTCCCTGCTTGCGGGACTTGCATTAGAGGGTGGCGTGCATGTCCCTCGCCTTTCGGCAGTACACATGGGGTGCACATCCACATTTTGACTTGTGGTGGCAAAAAAACCAAGGCTTTATAGAGAGCTAGTGAATGCACACAAGCAAAGGCTGGAAACGTGTCTGCGATGTAGCAGGGAACAAACATTTCTACGCTGCTGATGATGTATGTCGCTTTTACTTTTTAGGTGAAGCCAAAAACCTTCCCTCTTACCCGGGGCCGAGCAAGATGAGGGATTGCTACTGCACGGTGAACCTGGACCAGGAGGAGGTTTTCAGGACCAAAATTGTGGAAAAGTCACTCTGGTAATGTCTTCTGTTGCTTTACTTGGCACTGATGTGTTTTCTTTGGTGTAGAGAATGTCCCAAGGGTGTACGTCACCTTCCCATTTTCCCATGTGTGGAGAACGTCCCGAGCGTGTACGTCACCATCCCGTTTTCCCGCATGTAGGGAATTTTTCTGTGCGTAGACAATGTCCCGAGCGTGTACGTCACCGTCCCGTTTTCCTGCGTGTAGGGAATTTTTCTGTGTGTAGACAGTGTCCCAAGCATGTACATCACCGTCCCATTTTCCCATGTGTAGGGAATTTTTCTGTGCGTAGACAATGTCCCGAGCGTGTACGTCACCGTCCCATTTTCCCGCGTGTAGGGAATTTTTCTGTGTGTAGACAGTGTCCCAAGCATGTACATCACCGTCCCATTTTCCCATGTGTAGGGAATTTTTCTGTGCGTAGACAATGTCCCGAGCGTGTACATCACCGTCCCGTTTTCCCGCGTGTAGGGAATTTTTCTGTGCGTAGACAATGTCCCGAGCGTGTACGTCACCGTCCCGTTTTCCTGCGTGTAGGGAATTTTTCTGTGTGTAGACAGTGTCCCAAGCATGTACATCACCGTCCCATTTTCCCATGTGTAGAGAATGTCCTGAGCGTGTACATCACTGTCCCATTTTCCCGCGTGTAGAGAATTTTTCTGTGTGTAGACAATGTCCCGAGCGTGGACATCACCGTCCCATTTTCCCGCGTGTAGGGAATTTTTCTATGTGTAGACAATGTCCCAAGTGTGTATATCACCGTCCCATTTTCCCATGTGTAGAGAATGTCCTGAGCGTGTACATCACTGTCCCATTTTCCCGCGTGTAGAGAATTTTTCTGTGTGTAGACAGTGTCCCGAGCGTGTACGTCACCATCCTATTTTCCCGCGTGTAGAGAATTTTTCTGTATGTAGATTATGTCCTGAGCATGTACATCACCTTCCCATTTTCCTCCTGCTTAGTTTGAGGAGGAGATGCTCCCTGGGGCTCTGGTGTGCAGGCAGCTGAGCTTCTGTCCTTGGTGGTGCGTGGATGTGAACTGGTGTTGGCTAAATGCTCCCGCTGTCCAGGAAGTGCATGTAGGCGGCGGTCCCCCTGCGTGGACTCGCACGAGTGCTTTTTAATTAGAGATGAACCGGGAAGCTCGCACTCCACAAAAGAGTACAAATTAAGGATTTCGAGAGGGGGAAATACTGAGAAAGCTTTTCTCTTCCTGTAAAATTTTCTAAAATAGCTATACAGAAGATGGGTGTTAACTGAGGTAAGAGGCCTAGAAAGTGTTTATTGATATGATTTGAGGAAGAGAGGAGTCAGCCAAGAAAAACAAACTCTTAAAATCAACAAGTTTCCCCCTCAACTTGAGCGTGTGAAGATGTGGGTGCCGACCCCAGGATGTCCAGAGCACAACCAGAACTTGTGTTTCTGAAAAGCTCCAGCTAAGTGGCCAGGCCGTACTCGGAGGACCACTGCAGTTGAACACCAGGACATGGCACGGGGTGGGATGCACAGGGACAGGAAGCCATGGCGATTTATGTCGGGGGTGGGAAGAGAGAAGCCAGGGAGAGTGTGCCAGGCAGGGCCTCAGTGCTGCGGCCTCGGGGGAAGCATGGGGCGGCTGGGTTATAAGGGAGCGGCTTGGGGATCAGAGAAGATGTCCGTGTAGCTGTGACTCCACCGGGTTATAAGGAGCGGCTTGGGGATCAGAGAAGACATCCTTGCAGCTGTGACTGCACCGTTCAGTTCAGAAGCATGGGTCGTGTGCTTTGATCAAAACAGCTATTTTGATTTTGAGAACATGTTTAGCTAAAGAATTATATCCTTGCATCTGGCTACTTCCAAGTGGGAATGAACAACCCATGCTGATGACTGGGTGAGTTTACTTACTAGAAAACTGTGAGGGGTCTCCTGCCCTGGAGAGACTGGGGCTCATATCACTCCGTCACTGACAGTGCTTCCAAAAGGCTTTGGCGCAGCTGCCCTCCAGGCCGAGGAGTGAGAGTCATTTGTGTTATGTTAATGCACGCTCCGGGTTCTTTGAAATAACTCGTCAAAAAGAACTGCAGGCTGAGGGGCATTGTCAGGCGCCCAGTCTGGCTTTATGAGAGTGTCTTGGGGTTGCCATGGCGATGACTGGGCACAGCCATTCTTCTGAAGAAAATGGGAAGAGACCGAGCCCTTCAGAAGTGCCTTTGGAGCTTCCCTGGATAAAAGTCCATTCTGTGTTTAAATGGTCTGTTGTTAGAGGCCTATGGATTGTGGGCCTGGAGAATTACTGGCAGTCTTTCTCAGGCCGGGATCCTCTCAGACCCGCTGAATCAGAGCCAGTGGGAGGAGAATCTGTTTGGGAACCTCTCTTTCAGGTGAGGTTGAGAAATGGGGGCCTGTTGTCTTTCAGATATTTCAGAAGAATTTAGAAATAGAAATCATGGTTCTGGCCGGGTGTGGTGGCTCACACCTGTAATCCCAGCACTTTGGGAGGCTGAGGTGTGAGGATTGCTTGAGGCCAGGAGGTTGAGGCCGCAGTGAGCCATGATTACATCACTGCACTTCAGCCTGGGCGACAGAGCAAGACCTTGTCTCAAAAAAACCCAAAACACACACAACAAAAGACTGATAGCAAAGAAAGAGAAACCCATGTGGGACAGTTCCAAGAGAGTAAAACTGTGGCACCGTTTAGCGTGGACGCCGGCAGCCCTGCCCACGTGTAACACTGTGGCGCCGTTTAGCGTGGACGCCGGCAGCCCTGCCCACGTGTAACACTGTGGCGCCGTTTAGCGTGGACGCCGGCAGCCCTGCCCACGTGTAAAACTGTGGCGCCGTTTAGCGTGGACGCCGGCAGCCCTGCCCACGTGTAAAACTGTGGCGCCGTTTAGCGTGGACGCCGGCAGCCCTGCCCACGTGTAAGACTGTGGCGCCGTTTAGCGTGGACGCCGGCAGCCCTGCCCACGTGTAAGACTGTGGAGCCGTTTAGCGTGGACGCCGGCAGCCCTGCCCACGTGTAAGACTGTGGCGCCGTTTAGCGTGGACGCCGGCAGCCCTGCCCACGTGTAAGACTGTGGAGCCGTTTAGCGTGGACGCCGGCAGCCCTGCCCACGTGTAACACTGGCGCCGTTTAGTGTGGACGCTGGCAGCCCTGTCCATTTGGAGGGCTGTGCGGGCTGGCCGCCCCTGTAGTGTGAGGGCAAAACGCAAATCAACCCACCCCATACAAAAAGTTGGCAGGAAAGGTACTTGAACCCAAAAGCTGGCTCTCTCATAAACTTGCAGCTGGAATCCACGCTACATCTGTGGTCGGAAGCCCTCCATCGGTGCACATGCATTAACAGAGTCCTGTATTAGTCATTGGTCGACATCCACCTGAGAGGCAGGTGTCAGGCAGGGCTGCCCCACATGCTGGGGAGTTTAGTCCTGGCCACCGCCCCCTCCTTGCTCCATGGTGGCACCCACTTTGGGGCCGGTCCCCCAAGTCTCCTGGTCCCCGAGTCTCCCATCCCCCGAGTCTCCCACCCCCCAGTCTCCCAGCCCCCAAGTCTCCCGGCCCCCCGAGTCTCCCAACCCCCGAGTCTCCCGGCCGCCTGAGTCTCCCAGCCCCCGAGTCTCCTGGCCCCCCAGTTTCCCGGTCCCCCCAAGTCTCCCGGCTCCCCGAGTCTCCCAGTCCCCAAGTCTCCCACCCCCCAGTCTCCCACCCCCCAGTCTCCCGGCCCCCGAGTCTCCCGGCCCCCCAGTTTCCCGGTTCCCCCAAGTCTCCCGGCTCCCTGAGTCTCCCAGTCCCCGAGTCTCCCACCCCCCCAGTCTCCCACCCCCCAGTCTCCTGACCCCTGAGTCTCCCGGCCCCTGAGTCTCCTGGCCCCCCAAGTCTCCCGGCCCCCGAGTCTCCTGGCCCCCCAAGTGGTCCCCTGAGTCTCTCAGCCCCCGAGTCTCCCGGCCCCCCAAGTCTCCCGGCCCCCGAGTCTCCCAGCCCCCCAAGTCTCCCAGCCCCCGAGCCTCCCAGCCCCCCAAGTCTCCTGGCCCCCCGAGTCTCCTGGCCCCCCAGTTTCCCGGCCCCCTCAGTTTCCCGGCTCCCCGAGTCTCCCGGCTCCCCGAGTCTCCCGGTCCCCGAATCTCCCATTCCCCCAGTCTCCCACCCCCCAGTCTCCCGACCCCCAAGTCTCCCAACCCCCGAGTCTCCCGACCCCTGAGTCTCCTGGCCCCTGTGTCTCCTGGCCCCCTGAGTCTCCTGGTCCCCCGAGTCTCCCGGCCCCCGAGTCTCCCAGCCCCCCAAGTCTCCCGGTCCCTGAGTCTCCCAGCCCCCCGTGTGCTTCCTCCAAGGTCAGTGTCACCTTTAAGGTCTGATGGTTCATTTGGCAAAGTCGCTGTGGAAAGAAAAAAGCCCACGTCTGCATCTCTGAGCTCAGAAGGGCCCCAGGGTGCTCTCTGGCCGCTGGGTCTGCAGCCGGGCAGGAGCCCCTTCTCACATTCCCTGGGGAGAAGCACTTGGGTCAAGTTTGATTTGCTGTTGCCCAATATCGCCGTCTGACTTAGCAGGAAGCTGCAAATGGAATGTGTGAGGAAGGAAAGGCGGAACTCAGCTTCTCTTCTTCCCTCTTTCCCACTAAGGAGGTCACCGACCCAGCTCCACCTCAGGCCTGTGTCCCCCACGCCTCCTCCCTGCGTGTGGCCCGGGCCCCTGGGCCGCGCGTCCGAGGCCCTGGAGTCTGTGGGGCCTCTTTATCGAGTGCTGAGCCGACGTCTGGGGAGAGCGTCCTCTGTCTTCCCTTTTTTCTGTATTTTTCAAGGTGGAGGTTGAAGGGCAGTGTCTGTCACAGGTTTAACTTCAGAACGCATCGAAGTGGACACATTTCAGAGAACAAGCCCTTTCTCTCTGGCCTTGGCCCTTCTCCAAGGAAGTGATTTTGGCAGTTTCTGTCCTACTAGAAAAATAATTTTCTGAGGTTGAGAGTGAACTGTGTTCACAATCCATACCTTTTAGAGCAATCATTTTTAATCATTTAAAGGGCAGCCACTATTTGTTTCCTTATTTACTTAAACTAAAAGGCTCCCTGAAATTGGGTTGGCAGGGCTGGGGCTTGGGAACCAGCTTCCCGCCCTGGACCTCCCCTGGGCCGGCACCCACGACCCTAAAACAAGGAGATGACCCCGCTCCCCAAGGCTGCGCTGCAGTGGAAATCACCGTCTTGTCCAGCAGAAAGGAACAGCTGGCGTCACACACAACAGAACCTAAATCTCTCCTTGCTGGGTTAGTCCAGTCATTTGCAAGAATATTCAGTAAGTGTCGTGTCCTCATTTCCTTCCATCCACGTAAGGACGTGGAATGGTGTCTGTCCCTGCCTGCTTCCTCTGCGCCCACGTGGCTGACCTCTCCCCAAACCCTCATCCACGCAGACAGTCCTGGCTCAGGGAGGCTCTGCCTCAGGGTTCTGGGTCTGACCCTACCCCCTGCCACTGGGGTTGAGGCTGGGCAAAGCCCTCTGCCCCACGCGGAGCCCTGGCCCCCCCTTTCTGTGGAGTTGCTCCTGCGTCCTTTGCAGGGTTCATTTGCATGCCCATCTCGGGGAGAAGGGGCCGTGGCCACAACAGGAAGAAACTGCAGGCGTGGCTGGTTTCTGTGCCCCCTCCACCCAGAGGTGCCACGGCCTGAACTCCTGCTCCGAAAGCTGGTTATGCGTTAGGTTACAAAGCTGTGTCTGTAGGAAAAGTTCTTTTGTTTAAAAAATCATGAGCACCCCCAAAATGATCTGGATACGCAGACAAAAACGTCAATGTGATGTGATTTCTGAGAAGTGGAATTATGGGGGAGTTCTTGTTCTTTTGTTTGTGTGTTTTATGTACAATTAGAAGTTACAAGTCAAGGAACAGATAGATCTTCTAGAGCTGAGCGAGGAGAGCTGGGTCTTCCCAGGCAGACGAGGACATCAGACATCACCAGGGACCCTCACTTGGCAGCCCTGAGGGGCAGGCTCTGAGCTCTTCTGGGTGGAAGCCCGTCCCGTCCTGTGTGCACGCAGTGGGTGTTTGTTAAAGACAGGGAGGTTTCTTTCTGTTCATACTGCAAGATGTAAATCACCCCCAAAATAGTACTTTTGTGTAGTAGAAATGACTAAACCAAGAAATGTCTCCACAGCTCCAAAGTTTTTCGGGAGGGGAGAAGTTATTTGGGGTTAGAAACTGAAAGGGGCAGGAGGAAGTTGGTGGTTTGGGAGACAGACGGTTCATTCTCTCAGATGCTTTTAATAAAAACCAAGTTGCTGACTTAGGAAACACCGACTTTGACATTAGGCGACTCATGAAAAGTCACATTTCCCATGAACATTTATTTTCACTCTCAAGTTAGAGCTTAAACAAAAACCTGCTTGACACGACTGGAGGCTTCTTGAAGCCCAGAATATCCCAGAACTGCTGGAGTAGGGGACCCATCCTCAGCCCCAGAGTACCCCAGGTGGGGGCCCATCCTCAGCCCCGGGGTGTCCGCAGGTGGGGGCCCATCCTCAGCCCCAGAAGTGCCCCAGGTGGGGGGCCCGTCCTCAGCCCCAGAGTACCGCAGGTGGGGGCCCATCCTCAGCTCCAGAGTGCCCCAGGTGGGGGGCCCGTCCTCAGCCCCAGAGTGCCCCAGCTGGGGGGCCCATCCTCAGCCCAGGTTGGGGGGCCTGTCCTCAGCCCAGGTCAGGGGGCCAGTCCTCAGCCCAGGTCAGGGGGCCCGTCCTCAGCCCAGGTTGGGGGGCCCGTCCTCAGCCCAGGTAGGGGGGCCTGTCCTCAGCCCAGGTGGGGAGGCCCGTCCTCAGCCCAGGTTGGGCCCATCCTCAGCCCAGGTGGGGGCCCATCCTCAGCCCCAGAGCACCCCAGGCCAGGGATCTGTTCTCTCAGTCCTGGAATGCTGGCCCCAAATCTCCCAGCAGGTCAGAGCCCCTGGTCCTGTCTGTATGACCCCCAAGCCCGGCCCAGCATCTCCATCTCCACCTGCATGTGTGTGTCCTTCCGTGTCATGCTGGCTCACAGGAGCGCACCTGTGTCAGAATGATGCAGGGGGTTCTCTCAGCCGCACAGGAACTCAGCCGGCGGAGAGCATGAGGTTGCTCGTATTCTGTGAGTACTGAGTGTCTACTGCACATGGCAGGCTGCCCCAGGCCCAGGCCTGGAAGGGACTCATCGGCCGCCTGTGCCTGCAGGAGCCTCCTGGCCCTGAGCTGTGGCTGGGCCACTGCAGGGAGAGGCTGGGCCTGTCACGAGGGGGCCGCACCGAGGATCCCATGAGGAGCAAAGGCCAGGTCCCCCCTTCTCCCTCCTGCCCGGGCCTCCTCTCGCCCGGCCGCCTCCCGCTCCTCGGCCGCTGGCCCTCTCTCCTGCCCCTGGCACCTCCCTGGAGAGCCCCTTTTCCCACCAGGGCCTCACTGAGGGTTTGGGGTTTGAGGTGTCTCAGCTGCTGCAGGGGACCCGGTGTCTGGTTGTGCCTCCTCCTGAGAGTCACTGCTGCAGTCACACATCGTGGCCGGGCCCTAAAGACCCAGCCGATTTTCATTTGTTTGTAAGGATGGTGGTTCTTTTTTGGGGGGTATGGGGTGGGAGAGAGGAAAGAGCCTCATGTGCAGGAGAGGCGGGAGCCGAGGCCACAGTGTCCCGGGGTGCTGCGTGCAGTGGTGTGTGGCGTGTGGTGTGTGGCGTGCCTGGCGACCACAGAGCCCATGAGCCGAGGGGCAGCTCCTCGGTGCCCCTGAACAGATGGGGAGACTGAGGCTCGGGGAGGTGAGGTGGCTCACCACGGCCGCTGCAGCTGTGAGTCTCAGCCCAGCCCGCCTGCTTTCCTCACTGAGTCTTTGGGTTCCGTTTGAAGACTCACAGCTCTATTTGCCAACATTTCAAAATAACCCCACCCATCTTGAACCACAGGAGGCTGCAACCCAGTGTGTGTGGGGCTTCCGCTGAGACCTGCCGTGCTGGGTGGTGAGTGGGCTGTGAGCTGACCACGGACCCCTGCCCTCCAGCCTCTGACCTCTGGGAGCCAGGGCTGTGTGACCCTGCAGTGCTGGGTGGCGGGTGGGCTATGAGCTGACCGCGGACCCCCATTCTCCAGCCTGCGGTCTGTGGGAGCCAGGGCTGTGTGGCCCTGCACTGGCCATGTGCTTCTGATGGGTGTGTTTTGCCTCCTGTCCTTTGCGGAGATGGAGCATTTTCCCTGGCCAAGTTGCCCCTTCTCTGTGGGGCGCCTCTGAGGATGAGTCAGGCAGTGACTCAGGACCGCAGAGCTCAGCCCAGAGGCTGGCTTGGGAGCCCCAGGGCTGCTTCGCAGACCCGGTTTGGGGTTTGGTTCCTCTTCACGCAGCCTTTACCCTCTACCCCGAGGCTGGGGCAGCCCTGGCAGCTCCCGGCTCCCCCCAGCGTTTGGGAAATGGGCCCCGAGCCTGCGGCAGAGCACAGAGCTGGGAAACCAGGTTTATTTTCTTATGATCACGTGATGGGAGCAGCCGCAGGCGGGATGGGGCAGCGCCAGCCTTGCGCAGATGCTGGGAAGTGACTCAGGGAGGAGAAGGCGGGGGTTTCTCTGCTGGTCCCAGCTGAGCCCCTGCTCCAGGCTCCAGGAGGAGGAGGAATTCAGTTCAGATGGTTTCCCCTCATCAGAGCCACTACTTAAAGGTCAACTCTGTTTTCTGCAAGAGGTTTTTTCTTTTTTCCCCGTGAAAGTTTGCTTGATTCTGTGAAACTTCATTTGCACTTCTTCCAGAAATGACTGAGGGAAAGGAGACTTTGCCAGGGTCTCTGCCTCAGAGGGAGAGGCTGCTGCGTGCGTTAATTTCCTTAGGCCACATGGCAGGATTTCAGGCGAGCCTGGTCCTCTCAGGCCGCACTTTTTCTTTATTTGGAAAGAGAGTTCCAGAGCCCTCGGGCGGTGAGTGGGGGCCGCCTGGGCCAGGCATTCATCCCGCATCTGACTGCTGCTGACCTCGGCTGGAGACAAAGCCGGCCTGTCCAAGAGATACCCCGAGGTTAAGCTGCTGATGGGAAGGGGGGCACCTGGTGGCTGTGTGGCCCCTTTGAGTCCATCAGAAAGAAGAGATTGTCCGGCACAGGCCACCGAACAGGATGGGGGATGGGAGGAATGCCCTAGCGTTCAGCCGGTTTCATTTTTCTTTTGGAATACGCTTCAAACTCTGCTGCCCAGGAAGGAGAAAGCACAAACCTTCCTGCTGATGAAAGAAAATGGGTGCCCCCACCATGAGACCCACGGACAGCGGGGGGCTGTCCGTGGGCCTGGGCTTTGCACCTGGGAGTGTTGGTGCTGTGTGGAGGGAACTGACCCTGTCCTCAGGCTGAGCCTGGAGTCCCCACAACAGCATAGGGGGGAAAGCTGCTGTCCTCAGACTCCGCGTGGCCTCCAGTGATGGTGCTGTGGCCACTTCCTGCCGGGTGCTCACCGTGGGTTCTGGGTGGGGCTGGGAGGACATGGGGCGTAGGCCATTCTGCCCACGAGGTGACGTGATCGAGGTGGACGTGGCTGGCCTCGCAGCCTCTGCTCCTGCAGGTCCTGGGACGCTGTGTCCATCTGCTGGAGCTCATTTCAGAGTTGGCTGATCACAGGTCCATAGTCACCCACTGGTGACAAATTTAACAAATTTGTGGGGGTTTTTTTAGTTCAAAAAAGATCCTCCTTAAATGTTGTGAAATAATATGTCTTTTAAGTTGCAACACACATTCAGAAGTTCCCGGAGGGTTAAATCCTGAGCATGAAAAGATGGTCATTCTAATAGAAAACAGGCCCAGAGCATTTCAAGAAAAAATGAGATTTAAAACTGCTCATAAAAAGATGGACATTCCACCTCACCAATGAGCCAGACATTTAAAATTTAAGCAGGTTTTTGCCACCGGTTTAGCAAACTGTAGAAATATTTATAAGACGGCGTATGCTGGGGGTGGACACTGGTCCAGACTCCCTGGAGGGTTCTGTGGCTTTGTGTTTCAAAGGCCTCAGGACAGTGCACATCCTTGGAGGAATTTATCCCACGGGGACAATCAGCCACTGCACAGATCTGCGTTCCCAGGGTGCTCACCCCTGCTGCTCCCACCACACAGCGTGCACATGGCAGGGGGACCTGGCACTGCTGTCCACGCACACACGTGCCGTCTGACCCCAGCGTTTTATCAGCTCTTTGGAAAGTGGCCCATGGCCTGATGTGAAAGGAAAAAGCTGACTCTGTCACAGGGAACATAACCTCACTTTTATTTAAAAAATTTATCCGTATTTCCATTCGTATCTTCTATATTTATAACATAAATATTTACTATTATTGTTAATATATTTGTATTATAATATAATGAGTCATTATAGTATGAATATACTTATATTTGTATTATAAATATTGTATTTATGTTATAAATGTAATACAAATATATTTATATTTTGTATATTTTAAACCTATAACATTTATATATTTTATTCTATTTTATATTTTTGGAGAAAAAACTCCAGGAGGATGTTTCCTGGAATGTTAATTCCAGATTTCACTTTCTGATTTTTTTACGTATTTAAAATTTTGTTTCTTTAAAAATAGCTTTATTGAGGTATAATTCAAGCACCGTACAATTCACCCATTTTGAAATGTACAATTCAGTGGTTTTTAGTATATTTGCAGAGTTGTGCAACAATTGCCACAGCCAATTTTAGAACATTTTCATCTCCCTAAAACGACACTCGCGCCCTGTAATCCTCCAGTTTCCGGCCTGCAGCCTCTCCTGGGGCGGCAGACACGGGTCCCCGTTCTGTCGCCGGCTGTGCCTCTCTTGGGCATTTCGTGTCAGTGGAAGCGTCTGGCCCATGGCCTCTGTGTGCGTGGCCTGTTGGTTGGCACCACATTGTGGATGCTGTGGTGTGGGGCCAGGGTCCAGGCGTCCTTCCTCTCCAGGGCTGAGCACCGTTCTGCTGTTGCTCCCTCAGCAGCCGAGGCCCACCTGCCTTGTTTCCACTGTCTGGCTGTCATGACTGAGGCTGTGAGCACGCATGTCTGAGTCTGCGTGCGAACGTGGGCTGTGAGCACGCGTGTCCGAGTCTGCATGCGGACGTGGGCTGTGAGCACGCGTGTCCGAGTCTGCATGCGGACGTGGGCTGTGAGCACGCGTGTCTGAGTCTGCGTGCGGACGTGGGCTGTGAGCACGCGTGTCCGAGTCTGCGTGCGGACGTGGGCTGTGATGTCTATTGCTGCACACCTGGGGGTGGAACCACTGTGTCCCGTGGCGACTGTGTGTTGAACGTCGGAGGAACCGCCAGCCTGTTTTCCGTGGCGGCTGTGGCCACTTGACCTTTGCACAAGTTGTGTGTTTGGATTCGCATCTCCACCTCCCTACCCTTGTTACTGTCTCTTTGATCACAGCCATCCCGGTGGGTCTGATTTTCTTTGTACAATGCGAGCCCCCCCTCAATGAATTTTTGCTTAAAAAAAAGCAATTTGTTGTTTTTAATTGAAATGAAAGGAAGCATTCTTTCCTATGCATGTGTTTTTTTTAAAGCAAACAAAATTAAAATCATAAGTAAGTAAAAAAAAAACCCACAGGAAAATTCTAAAAACTTGCACATAAATGGAATTACGAATCAACTCATCGTGGAAAATCGTGTCTTGCTGGATGTAGGTTATAGATGTAAGGTTAGGCACAGTGGAAAGGGAGATGGAACCTGCAGACCCCAGACGTGGACATGGTCCAGGACGGCGTCAGTCCGACCCCCGCCTTTTCTGCCCACCGTGGGATCTGGAGCCCCCTGCCCACCATGTCCCCTGAGCTGGCTTGACCTTGCCGTCCTCCCCGCCCAACCCCTGCGCCGTGTGCTCTGTGCAGACACGTCCCCTGTTGAGTCTGAGATGGAGTTACCACCGCAAGCACAGGTGACGGCTGAATCCCACTGCCGCCTCCGTGGATAGGGCACCAGAAACCCTCTGGAGAGAAGGCAGCCTGCCACGCTTTGTAATGAGCAGTTCGCTTAAGGATCGTGTTAGACTCCATGGCTAGTATAGATTTCAAAGCTCGTATTTCTTTCTTTCTTTTTCTTTTTTTTTTTTTTTTGAGACAGAGTCTTGCTTTGTCGCCCAGGCTGGAGTGCAGTGGTGCGATCTCGGTTCACTGCAACCTCCGCCTCCCAGGTTCAAGTGATTCTCCTGCCTCAGCCTCCTGAGTAGCTGGGATTACAGGCGCCTGCCGCCATGCCCAGTAATTTTTTTTTTTTTTGTATTTTTAGTAGAGACGGCGTTTCACCATGTTGGCCAGGATGCTCTCAATCTCTTGACCTCATGATCCACCCACCTTGGCCTCCCAAAGGGCTCCTGTTTCATAACCCATCACCCTTAAAGAGCCGTTCTCTGAGGTGGGCCTGGGCGCCTGGGGTTTTTAGAAACCTTTTCAGGCAACCGTAGTTTGCGGTTCTAAGAGGAAAAACATCAAGAGACCTGAAGAACCCAAGCCCCACGCATCAAGGCAGCGTCCCCGGCCATGGCGGAGGGAGCCCCGCGCATCGAGGCAGCGTCCCCGGCCGTGGCGGGGGTGGAGAAGGGAGAACTGAGTTGGGTTTTGGTGTGGCTATTTCTGTGGTATTCCCTCGAAATATTTGCCACTGAAAAAATGAAAAAACTCTAAGTGCTTTTAAGTGAGTAATTTCTGTGCGAGGTCTCGGGAAGAAGAAATGTCTCTGTGTGCAGTGCCCAGGCTCCATCTGCCGGCTGTGGGGGCTCCGTCTGCCGGCTGTGGGGGGCTCCGTCTGCCGGCTGTGGGGGGCTCCATCTGCCGGCTGTGGGGGGCTCCGTCTGCCGGCTGTGGGGGCTCCGTCTGCCGGCTTTGGAGGCCCCGTCTCCCGGCTGTGGAGGTGGCAGAGCCTGGCTGGGGTCTTCCCGAGGGCCCAGCCTCCTGCTCTTCACAGGGAGCCTCAGGGAAGGTGAGGCCTCTGCCTCCCTTTCAAGCCACTGGACTTGAGCTGACCACTGATAACACTGCAGCTCCACCGCGGGCGAGCGCAGCGCTGGGGGACAGTCCTGGCCTGAGCTCCGGGCGTGCGCGGCTCCAGCTGCGTCCTGCCCGCCTCTCGCCTCACTGGAAGCAGAGCGGAACGGGGCGTGTCCGGTCCTGGCCCTTCGCGTCCCCGCAGGCCCGTCACCTCCTGCAGGAGCCCCTCTGGCTTCCCGGCAGTCTTGGCTCTGCCAGAACTGAATTCCTGTCGTCCCCATGAGGACAACCAGGATTTGCTCGGCACCGTGGCCTCTCGGGCTGACCGCTGCACCTTGCTTGCAGAAAGCCCCACCTGTGGAGGCTTGGGTGACCTTCCCTTCCTGGTCCACTGTGCCAGGTCTGGGCAGCTCCTGGCTGCTGACCTGAGACAGGTGATTCCTCCCTGCATGCCCACTGCCCCATCCGTGCATCCGTCCATCCAGTGTCTTGCACGGGCCTGCATATTCCCAGCTGCTGTGGTGAAATGTCTGCTCTGCACCACGTGACCTCGGCTGCACCCTGACCTCTGACCTCGGCTCCCAGCATGCTCCGGTCCTGCCGTGCCCTGCCCAGGCCACGTCAGCCTTCTCCTTGCTCCTACGTCTTTACCACACACAAGCCCTGCTGCCTCGAGGCCTTCGCACCTGGTGTCCCTCTGCCTAGACCCCTCCTGCGCTCTCCGCGCCGTCCATGGCCTCATTCATGCGTTCCCTTGTCCTCCTGCGGGTCTCCTCACCGTCCACAGCGCTGTTCAAGCGCTCACTCGTCCGTAAGCCTCCCTGTCCCCCGAGCGAGGCCACAGTGCTGCCCCCGCCAGCCTTGCCCGCGTTGGACATTCGTGGTTCTGTGTGCTCTTTGGCTGGCTCCATGGGGCCAGGACTTTGCTTCATTGGCTGCTATTCCCACAGTCTAGAACGGGGATGGGCAGCTGAAACAGTCATGGAGAGAGAGAGCGCTGTGGTTTCTGGGTCCAGTGAGCCACGCCTGGCGGGGGCCAAAGACATCGAAAGTGCTCCCCGTTGTTTGGTCCTGGTGTGTGGGAGGCCCTGCCATGTGCTTGTCTCACTGTGCAGGGCAGAGGAAGAAACCTCCAAGCCAGGCAGTGGTGTGTCCTGGGGAGGCCGCTTTGGGGGCAGAGCCACTGCCCTTCCCCAGCCGAGCGCCCTCTGTGCCCGCAGGCTGCACTGTGGAGAGGGCGGTGTCCTGAGGCTGAGAGATGAGGGAACTGGCCTCTGGCAAGGCAGCGTTGAAACGTGGACGTCCCCATCTTCAAAGTCGTGCTTCCCCCGGCAAGGCCCGTGTGGGCACCTGTGCCTCCTGGGTACCTGTGCCTCCTGGGTACCTGCGCCTCCTCGCATTGGCTTCAGCGACGTCTGTCACAGATTCTTACATTTAGACGTGCCATATAGTCTTCCTGGTGGAGACCAACGTCCCCTTGGCCTTGTGAAGCTTACCAGGGCCTGAATTAGGTTGGGGGGAGCAGCTGCACCTGGGGACTGTGCTGTGAAGATGCAGGAGGGCCTGACGGCGGCTCCTCCAGGCGGGACTGTGCTCTGAAGATGCAGGAGATGCAGGTGTTTGGTTTTTTGAGACAGGATCTCGCCCTGTCACTCAGGCAGGAGTGCAGTGCTGTGATCACAGCTCACTGCAGCCTGGAACCCCGGGCTCAAGCAATCCTCCGCTTCGCTGCAGACGTGCGCCACCAAACCCATCTAATTTTTAAATTTTCTGTTGAGTTGGGGTCTTGCTATGTTGCCCAGGTTGATCTCTAACTCCTGGGCTCAAGTGGCGCTTCTGGCATGGCCTCCCAAAGTGCTGGGATTACAGGCGTGAGCCACTGCATCTGGCCTGGATGCAGGTATTTAAAAGAGCTTAGGGAAGTTCTTCGAAAAAGGCTCTGGCCTTCAACTCCCACTTCTACTCCTGATTTTGGTTCTCATTGGGATATAAGTTTCAGAGCACTCCTGGGCTCAGGAGAAGAGCAGCTCCCCTGCGAGGGGCAGGGTCACCTGTGTCCACAGCAGCAGGACTTGGTCCCTGGGGACTGCGGGTCGGCATAGTCCAGGGTGCCCATGACCAGTCCTCCGAGGAGCAGGGCCTGGGAAGGGCATTGTCGGGCAGGCGAGGACGGGCATGGTTGCTGGTCTGGGCATCAGTGGCATTGCTCTGAGAGGGAAGGAGATGCTGTCCCAGCAAGGGTGGCCTCAGGTCTGGACCCTCAAGTGGACACCGTGTTTTGGCTCTAGGACTGGCATGGCCCAACAGGATTTTCTGCAAAACAGGAAATGGTCTCTGTGTTTTCCGTCCGGTCTGGTGACCACAAGTCACGGGCTGGTGAGCACCCGAGGAGCTGAATTCTGTGGTGGGAATCCAGGTTCGGGAGAGGTCGTCAGGCAGGTGTGCAGACAACGTGAGTGGTGAGCCTCACGCCCGAGGAATCCGCTCTTCCTGCTGGACGCGTGGATGGTGGTGACGGCCTCGCCGCAGCAGCAGCACCTGGAGCTGGCCCCTGCCGGGTGGGTGGTCTCCATGGGGCTCATGGCATCTCGGGGGTCTTGGGGGGATGTCACTCTGGTGCTCCGTTTGCAGGTACAAACCTGCCATTCTAGGAGCTGACTGATGATCCCGGTCCTCGCCCCTGTCCTCACACCCCTGAGTGGTCAGGCAGGGGCTTCACTCGGCTGGTTCTGGCCTCCGTGCTAAAATGAATGAATAGGACAGGACAGTGAGGAAAACGCACACCTGGGGAAGTGACCTGGGAACTCACCACCCCCACCCACCTCCGGGACTCCGACCTCCCAGGGCCTCAGCCAGGCCCTGCCCTCTTCAGCACATTGGAAACACCTGCATCTACCCAGTGTGCGCTAGGATGGCAGCTCTCCAGCCTCCATCCTGCAGGCCGAGCCCGCACCCCAGGGAAGCCATTGTTCTGGGTCCCCTCGTGCTGAGCGCCCTGGCCAGAGGTGCCCCTTCCAGGTCTGGGTGTGGTTGGCGGAGGTTTTATGGGTTTTAGCTGTGGGTTCATTCTCAGAGGTTAACTGCCCCCAGAAGGTGGGGAACCGCCTCCACTCTCCTCCTTGAGCTGGGGGTTTTACATTCTTCCAGGAGTTTCTTCAGGGCTCCCTGGCTATGGCATCGTGGCCTTGGGTGTCAGGCTGGCTCTGTGCACAGTCATTGTGGGGAGAGGTTTCCTTCCTGTGGGGGCCTCCACTGTCCCTGGAATCGCCCTTCTTATTCCCTAAATAAATCATCGGTCTAAGAAGCTGAACGAACCCTCTATTCTGGCACAGAGACTGGCTCCAGCTTTCCTTGAAATCCTGCAGAGCCTTCATTAAAATGAGTGCAAGGCCTGTAGCACGGCCGCCTCTCCGGACCCCACTGCCCTGCAATGCCTTCTGCTCGTCCAGCTCGTGGGAATGAAGCTTGGTCACAGTGGTTGGTGGCTCAGAGCTCCGTTGATAAGGCTGGCCGGCCGCCTGCAGATGTCCTGCCTGGTTTCCTGAAAGACTTGAGGTGACCCGCAGGAAACAAAGTTAGTAATAACTTTATTACTTTAAGTTTAAAAAGTTATATGAAATAAGAAGAAAAACATTAAAATAGGCAATTGGAACCACTAGAATAAACGACATCAGACATGCAAAACACTCACCCATCGCCTGTGCTGGAGCCTGTTCTGGCTCCAGGGTTCTCAGCTGCAAATGTGTAAAATGGAACTGTGAGTGTGACGTTCCCCTTCTTCAGGAGGGGGGACCCGTGGTTCCCAAGGACAACAGCTCCTCTTAGCAGGGGGGGCAGCCTGACAGAGGGCCCCAAAGCGCTGCCTCCCCTGCTGCGATTCAGGAGCAAGGTTCTAAAGCCATTGCTGGAGAAATTCCTGGGTGGAGGCTGGAGGAGGTCTTGCTCCCCAGGGGTAGTGCAGCAGGGCCATGCTGTGTTGCTATAAACCGCTTTTACATTTAGAAAGGGGCACGTCCAGTCTGTGGTGATAATTTTATGGAGTTCGTATGTTTTCTTGTAGCTTCCTCTTTCTGCTATTTTTATCTCTTTTTATTGAATGGATTTCTGGTTTATTTATGAATTTTAAGCACCTCAATTTCCACGGACAGCTGTCAGCACCACCAGAAGCCTCACGGGACCCTCCCAGGTGCCCAGCCAGCACGGGCCTCCCCCCACCGAGCCCCCCACTGCCAAGCAGAGTTACAGAGAGAGGAGCCACTTGTGCAGAGCCTTTGGCAGAGCAACTGAACACCCCGCTACCGGGCAGCGCCCAGGGACGCCGCACTCTCAGCCCTGCTGCCCAAGCCCTGGGGTTAGTTTCGTTTCATCAGATGTTGGAGTGCCTCGGTTTCCCACCCTGTGCATCAGGGTGGTGAGGAAGTGTGCAGGGTTAAATGCCAGGTGCGCGGCGCCCGTTTGTGGGGTGTGCTTAGCGCTGGCATCCTCATCTCACCGCCCCTCACCACGCACCGGACACGCACCAAATATGCATCAGACACACATCAGACACACACCAGACACTCACCACTCACCAGACACGCATTGGACACGCACTGGACATTCATCGGACACACATCAGACATGCAATCCAGCCCGACCCACTTCCTCCTCCCTGCCTTCCTGCCAGGCAGGCACAGGCCCATGTGGTGGGGTCCTCAGTGCCTGTGCGGGGGCGGGGGGCTCTCGGGAAACGGTGACGCGCCAGGTGAACCCCGAGGCCTGGGTTGCTCTGAAGCTGCTGCAGCTTCCTGACAAGCCGGCTGCTGGAGTTTGTGCCAATGGAGGGCGTCCGTTCCATTCTCTGGCAGCTTGGCTATCGGTGCCGGTGGTTCTGAGGTTCCTCCATGGTGAACGAAGCTTGATTTACGCCTTTTGGTTACGCATTTGCCGCAAGGCCCAGAGCTGTGCGTGCTCCCGCTGGGCTTCTTGTGTGAGATGCACCGCAGCCAGGACAGCCTGGGCACCTGCCACTCTGGAGCAGGAAGTGAAGCCTCCAGCCCTTGGTTCTTGGGGCTCTGCCGGGAGCGAACGGGGCTGGAAACGCCAAGTCCAGGCTGCTTTCACACATTCAAACACCACGGCTTCCTGCCATCACTTAGGCCTCAGTGGCCCTGAAAGTTGCTCTAGGACGTACAGAAGAGGCCGTTTTGTCGTTGTAAAAATCCCAAATGTTTTGTGGATTACTATTAATTGTTAACGCTTGTCCTGTGAGTAGCTCGTCACCTGAGGCCTTGTCGTGAATATTAAAATGCACGTCTGGTGTCCCTTTTGGCTTCGAGGTTGATAGTGGTTTTTCCTGCCAGTGGGGACGCTGTCCGCAGAGCACCAAGCTTCTCCAGGGAGGCCACAGGGCGCTGCCTGGGGAGTGTGCGTCCTGCCCCGAGATCCTGCAGCTGTGACTTTACACAGGGTGGAGGCAGGGTCACGACCCCTGCGCCTTGTTATGAAAGCAGCGCATTGTGTGGGGCGCATCTGTGGTGCCTTTGTGTACATGTGCACCCAAGTGCTCCAGGGCACATGCATGCACGCATGAACATGCACACATGCCTGTGAGCACACATGTATGGGCACATGCATGGCACATGCATGCACACACCCATGCACACGTGCCTGTGGGCACACACATGCACATGAACATGCACACCTGCCTGTGGGGACACACATACGGGCACACACATGCACACACAAACACGTGCCTGTGGGCACACACGTACAGGCACATGCATGCACACACCCACACACATGCCTGTGGGCACACGCACCCATGGGCACACACGTGCACACACCCATGGGCACACACGTGCACACACCCACACACACATGCCTGTGGGCACACACACCCCTGGGGGTCCCTGACATCAGATCTCGGCGGTGCCCACGCAGACGCAGGAGATCAGAGGATGGCTCGCTGCGTCAACGACCAACGCGAGAATGTGTTTAAAGGAAACGTGACTTTCTAATGGGCCTTCATTAACCAGGATGCTGCTACAATGGAGTCGGTGGAAGTCCCTGAGCATTCTGCCTTCATTGAAAGATAAAGTGATGTTTCTTTTGTGTGTAAATGGATACTGCTGTGTTTCCAAAATGCTTAAAACAACCTAGGCATTTTAGGCTTCCCTTGGAAGATTGTTTTATGACAAAAAATGGTTTTCTGAGTAAATGTTACCCAGTCTCTGACCCAGTTATAAAAATACTGAAATCAGTGAAATCCAAATGAAATGCCTGTCATTAAGGCCGCTGCAGGGAGAAGGGGTGGGGCCTGGACTCTGGACCCCTCCCACCTGGACTCTGGGCCCCTCCCACCTGGACTCTGGGCCCCTCCCACCTGGGCTCCGGGCAGCAACAGTCGCCCGCCCCAGGTTTGGGCTTATGCCTGTGCCGTATCTCCTGGTTTAATTTGCATTTTCTCAAGGGCTAATGACATGGAGCATTTTTAATACATTGTTGGCCATTTGTCTTTGGTGATATGTGTGTTCAAATCTTTTGCCCCTTTTTAAACTGAATTATTTGTCATCATTTATTGAGTCATAAGAGTTCTTTATATATTCTGTATATAAGTCTTTTATCAGATAACTGACTTACTAATATTTTTTCTAGTCTGTCTTTTCACTTTTTATTTTTTTAATTTTTATTATTTTTTTGAGACTGAGTTTTGCTCTTGTCACCCAGGCTGGAGTGCAGTGGTGCAATCTTGGCTCACTGCAACCTCTGCCTCCCAGGTTCAAGCGATTCTCCTGCCTCAGCCTCCCGAGTAGCTGGGACTACAGGCGCCCACCACCATGCCCTGCTAATTTTTGTATTTTTAGTAGAGATGGGGATTTGCCATGTTGGCCAGGCTGGTCTCGAACTCCTGATCTTAGGTGATTCGTTAGTCTCAGCCTCCCAAAGTGTTGGGATTACAGGCGTGAGCCACAGCACTGGCCCTTTTCACTTTTTAAATAATGCTTTTAATGCAAAAAAGTTTTTAATGTTTTTAATTTTGATGAAGTTTGATTTTCCATTTATTTTTCTTTTGGCACTTGTGCTTTTGGTGACAGATCTAAGACATCTTTACCTGACTTTAGGGTGCAGGTTCATTCTCATTTTCTTCTGAGAGGCTAGTAGCTCCAACCCTTACACCCTTACAGATGGGTGCGGGGTCTGAGCTCATTTCTGTGTGTGGCTGGGGTGGGGCCTGTGCCGTTGGTGACTGTGTGGACGCCCCCTGGCCCAGCACGTTGACCTTCCTTTGCTTTCTATCAGAATGGTTCCTCCTTGAATAACTTACATCTTTCCTATTTTGGACCTTAGCATCAATGTGCATGAAAGTGGGCTTGTTTTAAGTTCTGAGTTGGTGGTAGCTGTGCGTGCACCGCAGTAATCGCCAACAGGTCCGGCGTGGGGAGGAAACTAACCCCACCTGTGCCAGCCCAGGACAACAGGAAGGTTTGCTGAATGGCAAAGCCCACTGGCTTCTGCTTCTTTATTGGGGTTGTGGTTATTTCAAGTCTCCTCTGTGGGGCGGCTGCATCTCCTGGTGACTCACGCATGGGCGGCCTGAGCCATGCACTCTGTAAGCACAGTCAGCAGCGGGGTCCTCTCCCCCAGGAGCTAGGGCGGCTGGGCAGTCAGCAGCAGGGGCCTCTCCTCCGGGAGCAAGGACTTTAAGTACAGTCAGCGGCGGGGGCCTCTCCCCCAGGAGCGAGGACTCTAAGCACAGTCAGCAGTGGGGGTCTCTTCCCCAGGAGCCAGGACTCTAAGCACAGTCAGCAGCGGGGGTCTCTCCCCCAGGAGCGAGGACTCTACGCACAGTCAGCAGTGGCGATTTCTCCCCCAGGAGCGAGGACTCTAAGTACAGTCAGCAGCGGGGGTCTCTCCCCCAGGAGCCAGGACTCTAAGCACAGTCAGCAGCGGGGGTCTCTCCCCCAGGAGCGAGGACTCTACGCACAGTCAGCAGTGGGGATTTCTCCCCCAGGAGCGAGGACTCTAAGTACAGTCAGCAGCGGGGGTCTCTCCCCCAGGAGCCAGGACTCTAAGCACAGTCAGCAGCGGGGATCTCTCCCCCAGGAGCGAGGACTCTAAGCACAGTCAGCAGCGGGGGCCTCTCCCCCAGGAGCGAGGACTCTAAGTACAGTCAGCAGCGGGGGTCTCTCCCCGAGGAGTGAGGGCGGCTGGGCAGTCAGGACTTTGTACTGGATCTCTGGATAAAAGGAGCGGTCCAAGGCACTGGAGTGCTGTGTTTTATGTTTAATGCATAAAGGGAGCCACTGCCTGCCCCAAACCAGGTACCTTCGAAACATCACGATGGCCCTGAGGCTGCACCTAGACCTGAGCACGTAGCATGGAAGTCATTCTGGCAGTGGCCGTGGTCTCTGTGGAGGTCTCAGCTTCCGGGCCGCCAGGCAGCCCAGTACAGAAGTTCATCTGTGCAGTGCAAAGGCTCGAGGTGGAGGCCGGGGAGCAGCTACGAGGCCCTTCACCCCACAGGGAGCTGCAGGTTCATGTCTCATGCGTGCCACACAGTGCAGGGCATTCTTATGGCATGTTTAAAACTAAGACCACACGTGTGTGCCCCGGGGGTGAGGCGCAAGCGTGGCCTGTGTTCTAACTGGCGCTTTTCTTTGTCTCACTAGCCCGTTTTACGGAGAAGACTTTTACTGTGAAATTCCTCGGAGCTTTCGTCACCTGTCCTTCTACATTTTCGATAGAGACGTTTTCCGGAGGGATTCCATCATAGGTAGGTGATGAATGAGCATTTACTTCCCCTTTTCTGCCTGTTCTGTACCAGGCGAGTATTAGCATTTCAGTCCAGAGCCTGGCTGGATGGTGCTGAGGGGTCGCTGCAGGGCTTGAGGTCACAGCAGCCCTGGGTGTTCCTCCTGATCTGCTCTTGGGATCTGGCCTGGCATCTGTGGTCCCTGCTAGAGCATCACACCAGGCTCAGGTCAGTGAGCACTGCCAGTCGAGGCTTCCATGGCCCCTCAAGGCAAGAGCACAGCATCTCTGGCCCTCTTCAGACAACTTCCCAGGGCTGTTCCCCGGGGCATCTGTGGGGGGACCTTTGCATGGATGTGGGGCCTCCCTCCTCACCACGTCTTGGCTGTCCCTGTCCCAACTTTAGTCCCCACAGTGTGGGCACAGGAAGGGCGGGTGGGGGTGGGGGCATGTTGCCTCAGTTTCCCCCTGGTTTTTGGGGCAATACTGTTACTTCCAGGAGATGGTGTGTTTGGAGCAGGGGTGGGGCTGCTCTTGGAGAAAGCTCATGGGCAGCCCTGCCTGGTATCACAGGAAGGCGGCATCCTGTAAGTTGTGGGGCCTCTGGGCAGAGTGGACTTCAGGTTACTCGGGGAGCTCCTTGTTCCTAAATGCAGCCAGAGGACCCCGTCAGGAGCAGACCTCACGCAGCAGGCGTGGGAGGCTGAGGGATCAGGCTAATTCCCGCCGTGACGCTGGGAGAGCCAGGAAGGGAGGAGGGGTCCTGTGGCGCCTGAGCTCACGCCCAGGACGGGCGGCCGGGGAGCCAGTGTGTACTGGCTGCCACAGCCTGAACCCAGACCCCAGGTGGTGCAGGCTCCTCGTCTTCATGGCTGCCGGGATGCTGAGTGGGACAGGGCGAGAGGAGGAGTCCCCCAGGGGGACCCCCAGCTTGGCCCCAGGCAGCCTGAGGGCCCGGGGGTGCAGGAGGCCAGCGAGGCCACGAGGGTGCTGTGCGTGGGCGGGGTCCCGGTCCATCTGACGCTCGCTGCTCACACTGGCTCCTCACACCGTGTCACGGCCGCTCCACCCCACGCCGGCTGCCCCCTTTCCCCAGCGCTCACCTGTGTCCCTCAGCTGTGGGCTTTCTTCATCGTCCCTGTTCCTCTGTTTGTGAGCCATGGACCAGGATCTGTGATCTGATCCATTCCCAGTGCTTGGCACACAGAAGTGAGAGGCACGGCCAAAGGTCCACCTCAGAGCTTGAGTGTCCTAAAACCCAGCCTGTCCCCACTGGGCGGCCGGCAGCTAGTGTGTGTCAGCACGACGTTGAGAGAGAGAGGGGGCATGAGAGAAACGGGCTAGTAGGTAACGCGTAGGCTGTCTGCACTCTGCCATGTCCCGGGCCTCCACAGCAAGTCCCCTGACAGAGATGAGATGCCTATCCTGACCAGTCTTGCTCTCTGCCTGGCATTGAGAGGGGCTTGGCTGGGTGAGAGGCCCTCGGGGCCGGGCAGGGCCTCACCTGGCATTGATAAGGCCAGTGCCCCCTCACCATTGCAGGGGTCGGGACCCGGACATTTTTGGGACTGTTGTTCACTGTACCCAAGTGATTATTCTTAGAAACTGCTGTGTTTTTCATAGAAGTCTCCAGAGTTTGTTTAGAAAATACATGGAATGGGTCACATGGATCTCAGATAATTGACATTTGACTTCATTTTGAGCGGGAACACTGTGCTGGGTGCTTCCGCAGCGGACACCCTGGCCCTGAAATGCGGCTGCAGAAGGTGTCTGAGTGCAGCGGGCACCTGACCCCCCTTCAGGGTCTTGCTGTGCTGGGCTTCATGGAGCCTTGTCGGTGAGATGGTCTTGAGGGTCCAGCGTGACCCCTGCACCCCCTTGCTCAGTGTCTGCCTGGGAGGCCCTCAGGTTCAGGCCCATAGCTTTATGTCGCGTTCAAGCTGGGTGCTGCGGAAGGGTTCCCTCTTCCTCTCTCCCTCTGACCAGGGCATCGGCTCCAGGGCTAGTGGCTGGCAGTTCTCCCTCCTGCCTCCGGGCTCAGCCGCTGTGCACCCCACTCCTGAGGCACCTCCTTCTCCATCCCCATGTCCTGCCATGCCCACCTCTGGGACTGGGGCCTGCTGCAGGAGATGGCCTCCGACCCCGCGGCATGGGTGGGCTGCCCTCCGTGACCTGCCTCCCCTGCCCCACTCGTTGGTTGTGGTTCTCTTGCCTGTTGTGCTGTGTCCACTGGACAGAGCTTCCTGGAGCCCATGGTCCTGCAGGGCAGGCCTGTGTCTCGCTCCTGTGTTCTCAGCCCCTGCCAGGGGCCTCCAAGGGTGTTCTCAGAAGAAAGGGAGGCATGGAATCCAGATTATTCAGCGGAGGCTAATGGTGTATCTGGCGGGGCTCAGCCTGTGCCGGGCGCCACGCGCGAATTGAGGTGTGACCGTGTGTCAGGCCTCGTCACCAGCTCCGTTTATACTCGAGAATCCACAGGGACTTGATTCGTTCTCGAAGGTGTATGAGACATTTTTTGAGCGACAACCCTAAGGAAAAAGAAATTTAAAAAATTTTTGCACATTTTAGTAAGAGAAGCTGATCAAGTTAGTTCTGGAGTTATATGCTCTGAAAATAACCAAATAAGATGTTTATTAATCATTCTGTTGACGTCGTCTGCTAGTAGTTCTTGGTGGCTTTACGATTATGGTGACTGGACTTAGATGTTTCACTGTGGCTTTCGCAGCTATGAAAATGGGTGGCTGTCTGGATCTCCGGTAACGATTTATCTTTATGATGGTAATTATGTTGTTACCGGGCATGAAACACCAGGTTCTGGGGAATGCGTTTCTGGGTGGAAGTGCGCGGTGGCCACTGGCTTCCTGGCTGCGTGGTTCTCCTGGTTCTCGTTTCTAGCAGCCGCCCACGCCCTGAGGAAACCCCACCTGCCAGCAAGTTTCCCTTGGGGCAGCCACAGCTGTGCTCAGTTGCAAGTTCAGGTCCAGGAGTGAGAGGTGCACTGGCAGGTGCCAGAAGGAAGTGGGGGTGCATTCCTATGGGGTCGGGGGTGTGGGTTGGGGACGGGAGGGCATCTTCAGCCTGGAGGGGGAGGGCGGTGGCGACAGAAACCGAGAAAGGCAGCTGAAGCCGTGCCGGGATACGGCGCCCCGGCAAGTGAGACTTGGGGAAATAAAGGCCTGCCCTCAGCCCTCCCCAGCCCACCCCGGCACCTCCACCGGCTGCAGTCAGCTCCCGCCACAGCAGGAGCAGGAGAAGTGTCCAGTGTCGGCGGGTCCCGGGCGGCGTGACCGTAGCCTCCTCTGTCCCTGGGTCCATGGCCCACAGAGCGCTGCTGCCGGCGGGAACTGTCAGTCAAGCCGGGCTCCCAGCTGCAGGGCCGTGACCTGCGGGACACACGGGGCGCAGGCTCCTTCGGGATTCCAGGCGCAGGGAGGCGGCCTCTGCCTGGACTCGGCTGCCGGGCGCTGCCCTCACAGAGCACAGACCGGAAACTATGGCTCCCCGCAGCTGGGATGCGGGAACCACGGAAATGCGCGAGGCCCGGCTCGGTGCTGTCAGGAGCATTGGGGTCTCCGCCCCCGATCCTGGCGCCTCCCTCCTTTTCCCGCTAGGCCTCCACCTTCCTCTGGGCCCCGGCTCTGGTAGCACCATGTCCCCCTCCATTTGCCCCTCCAGCCCCTAGAGACTCTCTGAGGCTTCCCAATGGGGTGGGGGTGCAGTGAGACCTCCATTCTTTTCTTCTTCTTTTTTTTTTTTTTTGAGACGGAGTCTCTTTCTGTCGCCCAGGCTGGAGGGCAGTGGCGCGATCTCGGCTCACTGCAACCTCCACCTCCCGGGTTCACGCCATTCTCCTGCCTCAGCTTCCCGAGTAGCTGGGACTACAGGCGCCCGCCACCACGCCCGGCTAATTTTTTGTATTTTCAGTAGAGACGGGGTTTCACCGTGTTAGCCAAGGTGGTCTCTATCTCCTGACCTCGTGATCCGCCCACCTCGGCCTCCCAAAGTGCTGGGATTACAGGCGTGAGCCACCGCGCCCGGCCGAGACCTCCGTTCTTTGTGTATAAATCAGGTGGTCTGCAACTGACATATGGTAAAGTTCACTGTTAGGTGTAGCCTTCACCAGTGTATGCAGTTGTGTAGACAGCAGCACAGCTAAGATATGTTCCCACAGCCCGGAACACTCCTTTGGGCCCCTTTGGGGTGGATTTCCTACCCTGGCCCACAGCCCCGGGCAGCCACTGCTCTGAGGCCTGTTCCCACAGTTGCCTTTTCCAGGAGGCCACGTGACTCAAACCCTGGAGGGGCCGTGCCCTCTGCCACTGCGCTGGTCCCGCGCTGTGCGGCTGTGAGCCAGGCCGCCCCCTTCCACTGCCCGTGGGTTTCCATCATACAGACACAGCTCAGCCGCCTCATCCACCCTCTGGATTGTGTCTAATCCTCAGGAATTATGAATAAAGTCACCGTAAACATTCTCGGATAGGTCTTTGTGTGGACAATGTTTCTGTTTCTTACTCTGAGATAAATGCGTGGGAGCGAGGTTGCTGGGTCACTGTAGGGTGTGTGTTTACTTTCATTAAAACTACCCAACCGTGTCTCCAAGTGGTCACCCAGTCTGCCTTCTCTCCAGCAGCGGGTGAGAGCAGCAGGTATTTCGCATCCTGCCCGGCCCTTAGGACTGTGAGTTTTTATTCTCTAGTTACCGTTTGCACTCCCATAGGTGTGTACTGTCTCACTGTGGCTTTTATTGCGTGTCCGTGAAGAGTGGCGTCGAGGACCTTTTCTTGGGCTTAGTGACAGCTCCATTCCTTCTTTAGTACATTGTTCAAATCTTTTGCCCTTTTAATTGGGTTGTTTTCTTGTTACTTTTTAAAGTTCCCTGTATATTCTGGATACGAGTCTATCACAAGTGTGCTTTGCAAATATTTTCTTCCAGTTTGTGGCTTGTATTTCATTTTCTTACCATTGGCTTTGAAGAACAGAAGTTTTTAATTTCGATGGTCCAGTTTATCACATTTTTTTCTTGTATGATTTGTACCTGTGGTGTCATGTCTAAGAAAGTCTTGCCTATTCCACGGTTGTGGCGGTTTTCTCCTGGAAAGCATGTGCTTTCAGCGTTCACATTTAGTTCCATGATCTGTTTCAAGCTAATTTTCACTTATAGCACAAAGAAAAGGGTCGGGATTCTGTTTTTTCCATGTAGACATCCCTTTGTTCCGGCACCCTTGGCTGAAAGACGACCCTTCCTCCGTTGATGACTTTGGCACATTTACAGCTTAGTTGGCTGCATTGTGTGGGTCTGTTTGTGGCCTCTGTATTCTCTTCCATCTGAGGTAGGAGGCGGGACTGGACTCTGAAGGCAGGGCTCGGACACCGAACCAAATTGAGGACTAGCTGAGACAGGGATGGGTGGAAGCAGCTTTCCATCGGACACGCCTGCCAGTGTACCATGTCACCTTACCATTGCCATGGCAACGCCTGGAGGTTACCACCCCTTTCCATAGGAACAACCCCGTGACTCGGAAATTACCACCCTTTTTCTAGAAATGTCTGCATAATCTTTTAATTGACATATAGTTAAAAGTGAGGATAAATAAGACTGCAGCAGTGCCCGGAGGTGCCACTCTCAACACCCTGCCTATGGGGAACCCTTCTCTGCAGGAACGGCTGAGACTGTCAACACCCCGCCCGTGGGGAGTCCTGCTGTGCAGGAGCAGTTTCAGAGCTGCCACTGCCGCCTCCATAAAACTGTTTTCTTCCACCACCACCTCATTCTCGAATTCTTTCCTGAGTGAAGCTACAGACCCTCTGAGGCTAAGCCCCAATTTGGGGCTCGCCTGCTGTGTGTCATATTGATCCACCTGTCCTCATGCCAATACCACGCAGTCTTGATCACTATAGCTTCATAGCAGGTCTTACATTGTAGTGTAAGATCATCAAATTTGTTCTTAAACTTGTTTTTCTATTCTAGATGCTTTGAATTGCCATATATACTTTTGAATGAGCTTCTCAATTTCCAAAATAGTCCCACAGGAATTTTGACTGGGATTACATTGATCTATAGATTAATTTGGGGAGAATTAATATCTTAACAAAACTGAGTCTTCAAATCCATGGACATGGTATATCTTTACACGCTTGGGTCTTTCCAATTTCTCTCATCAGTGTTTTGTGATGTGTTTTCAGCCTACACATTTTGCACATTTAAAAACATTTATTTCCCTGTGTTTTATGTGTTTAGTGGAGTGGTTAAAGATTTCTGAGGTAGTCCACCAAAAGCACAAACCTAAAAGCATAATTTTGTGAAAGGTGCTGTTTTTGTGTAATTTTCATGGTCATTGCTTGTATGTACAAACGCAGTCGACGTCTCCACACTGACTTTGTGTTCTCTGTTCTTGCTGAACACACCAATTAGTTCTATTAGCTTTGCCTGTAGATTTTTTTTTGTACATTCTATGAATAAAGGCTTTTATTTCTTCCTTTGGGATCTGTATGGCCTTTGTTTTTTCCTCGTGGCCCTGGCTGGGACACAGGTGGGGTCAGAGGGAGGCGCGCGCATTTCAGCCGCATTCCCTGTCTCGGGCAGCTCTTGCTCAGTTGTGTCCTGTGGCTGTTTCCCCTTTTTCTGGTCCCTCTGCAGCTGGTCCCCCGTCTGATGCCCTCCAGACCCCTGGCTCCTCCTTTCTGAACGGGCCTGGCCAGCACAGATGCAGCAGAAGAAAGTGACCCTTCCGGCCTCTCGTGGTGAGAAGGCAGCCGCCTTTGCCCAAGTGAGAAAGGGAGGCCCAGAGTGTTCGGTAAACTTTTCGGTGTGACTCAAATAGATGGGGACAACCCTGTGGATTAGGCACATCAGAGAAATTTAAGTAGACGCCGTGGCTTTTAGATCAGGCATTCTCTCAGGTCAGCATCTGGAGATACGAACACGCATGCTTCAAATGTCCACGGTCCCCATTGTTGAATGTGGCTGGCTTCTAGAAGGAAAGGTTGGGGGCTGGTGACAGAAGTGACCCCACGTCGGGAATGAGGTGGCAGGGGCAGGGATCCCTTCTCGAAGGGATTTTAAATCCTTTTGAATGTTGTGGATTTTGTTCTGTTTCTGTGTTACCTATTAAAAAATTAAGTGAAGTACTTCTAAAATTAAAGACTTGTAATCATGTGCCAGTTACAAGATTTTTATCCACGTAAATATGTGACTTCTCCCGTCCCAGTTTCAGCTCATAAAAATGTGAAGACACAGTGACATTGCAAGTATTTAAAACTTCAGACTTCAAAACTGACCCTCCTGTCCAGCTGAAGGCGTCTTGGAGTCTGAAGATTTATCCCTTTTCACTGAAATATATTGCCCAACTCAGTTTTAAGAAGTTTTTGCTTTCATGTGGCTTTATTCCTGTGAGACTCAAAACTGAGGTTCGTGTTGTGGGGGAAAGGGGAGGTTATGCAAGAGCCACGCAGCGGTCGTCAGAGGAGAGGACAGAGCCCCCACTCCGGACCCTTGAAGTCAAAGGCGCCCGCCCAGGGCTGCCGGTGGGAGGGCGGGGGGCTCAGCGAGTGAGGCGGCGGGGGAGCTCAGCGAGTGAGGCGGGGCGGGGGGCTCAGCGAGTGAGGCGGGGGGGGAGCTCAGCGAGTGAGGCGGGGCGGGGGGGGGGCGGGGGGGCTCAGCGAGTGAGGCGGGGCGGGGGGGGCGGGGGGGGCTCAGCGAGTGAGGCGGGGCGGGGGGGGCTCAGCGAGTGAGGCGGGGGGGGAGCTCAGCGAGTGAGGCGGGGCGGGGGGCTCAGCGAGTGAGGCGGGGCGGGGGGGCTCAGCGAGTGAGGCGGGGGGGGGAGCTCAGCGAGTGAGGCGGGGGGGGGAGCTCAGCGAGTGAGGCGGGGCGGGGGGCTCAGCGAGTGAGGCGGGGGGGGCTCAGCGAGTGAGGCGGGGCGGGGGGGCTCAGCGAGTGAGGCGGGGCGGGGGGCTCAGCGAGTGAGGCGGGGCGGGGGGGCTCAGCGAGTGAGGCGGGGGGGGAGCTCAGCGAGTGAGGCGGGGGGGGGAGCTCAGCGAGTGAGGCGGGGCGGGGGGCTCAGCGAGTGAGGCGGGGGGGGCTCAGCGAGTGAGGCGGGGCGGGGGGGCTCAGCGAGTGAGGCGGGGGGGAGCTCAGCGAGTGAGGCGGGGCGGGGGGGCTCAGAGAGTGAGGCGGGGCGGGGGGGCTCAGCGAGTGAGGCGGGGCGGGGGGGCTCAGCGAGTGAGGCGGGGCGGGGGGCTCAGCGAGTGAGGTGGGCCAGGCGGAGGTGTCCTGGCTGTCGTCCACCCTCGTGGTCTGCGCCATTAGAGGCCATTGGAGGGAGTCCACGTGGTGTGTCACTGGATTTCTCTCTGAGCCTCCCTGGTGTTCCTTCTCCCACATGTGCTGGGGCCTGTTTCCTGTGCCGGCCCCCTTGGTTCTTGATTTGGCTCTCGCCTGCCCTCAGTGGTGGTTTCAGCGTCCCGTGCAGCTCCAGATGGCCTGTGTATGTCTGTGTGGCAAGAGCTGAGCCGATGAGGTCACCAGGCTGATCTTAGGAACCCATGAGTGCCTGTGTGCTGTATCTACGTCCGGGTAGCTGTGGAACTGGCCGGCCCTGGCTGTGAGCGGGGGTCCCGGAGCTGGGAAGGGGCTTTTTCCAGGGCTGTTCCCAGGGCTGCTTTGCTTTGCAGAGTGGATGGTGTGAGGTGCAGCCGGCTCCCCTGAGGACATCAGATGAAGATGCTGACGTGCATGGCAGGTGTCAGCAGCACTGGAGGCAAACTGTCCTGATTCCGTCTCTCTCCTTTGGGCACTTGGAAAGCGTCTTTGTGCCTCTTTCCACCTTCCGCACCTCCCACCATGTCCTGTGGCCATGTGGTGCTCCATCATGTGGCCGACCTTGCGCTGTCCCATAGGGTCTGGAGCTGGTGCTGAGCTGGGCGTGTCTCAGACCCTCTGAGTTTGCAGACAAAGGAGGGGCCTGGTGGCCCAGGCCCACGGGCTCTGAGATTAGTCACGGAATGGACCAGTCAGGCTGAGAGGTCTCGCTCGCATGAGCCCGCGAGGCAGAGGAGCTCCTGAGGGAAGATGCGTCCTGGGACCTCGCAGGGTGGGGACGCCAACATAGGAAGGAACGCTGGCAGGAAGGCAGGGACGGAAGCTCCCTCTCCCTGCAGCCCCGGCCTGCTCGTCTGTGGGGTGTGCAGAGTGGTACCTGCTCCTCCAGGGTCACCGCAGGACCGACTGAGATGGCACCTGTGAGAGGCTGGCAGTGGAGTGTTCCCGAATTTACTGAGGCTGGACAGAGAATCAGGCCCAAGCATGTGGCTGCTGGATGCCAGGCCAGGGTTGTTCCGATGGGAGCCTGCGGAAGTTTTTTGAGACACGGAAATATAAAAGGATCTTCCTTGGAAGAGAGAACCGGGGCTGGGCTGCGCTGTCCTGGCGTGAGGCAGGGTGGCCGGGTAGGAGGCCCAGGCCGCTCCCGGGAGCCCAGGTCATGCACAATGTGCTCAGACCCTGTGGCTGCGGACGCTGCGGTGAACCGGGTCTGCGGGGACCCAGAGTTTCTCACTTCAGTGACTGGACCAAGATCCTTAAGGAGGGCGTGTGTGTCTCTGGGTGCAGAACGAAGACGTGAGGAGTCTGCCAACATTTCCTTCCTCACTCCTGCTCTCGTGTGTGCTCTGTGATGGGCTCAGACTTCACATGTGTGTGCGACTCCCTAGGAGTTCACGTGCATCGGTCAACAGAGGTGCATGTGCTGCCGTGGGTGCTCACCGTGGTGGGTGGCGTGGTCCGCAGTGTGCGGAGGCCACTGGCAGGGTTGACATGGTGGTGCCATGAAGGGACGCAGGATGGGAGATGGCTCGGTGCCCAGCGCCTGACAAGCCCTGTCCTGCCGGGGATGGGATGGGCACACGTTTGCCGCGCCTCGGGAATGTTTCTGGAATGAGGTGAACGTATAAGCAGATAATAATGGTTGCAGATGCGAATTTACACATATAAATCCATACTAGGTAAACGTATATTGTACAAATATATTCTGATACGTATTTTCACTGGAAGCGTAGCCCCAAAGTACTAAGCCTGTTTAAGGCACGGGAAACTGTTTAGAGTGGACGTTCCCAGACTTTGGGGCCCACACAAGTGCCCAGGGACCTGTGGTGGTGCAGATTCCAGCCCACACCAGAGCCTCTGTTCTCCTCCGTCTGGAGAAGGCCAGGAATCTACACTTTCAGGCTCTCCAGGGGTCCCAGAAGGCGGCTCATTCATTACACTTTAGAGGCACAGATTCAGACCAACCCACGTCGCGTGGGAAGGTGGCAGCTCATTCTGGCTCTCAGTCCTGCCTGTGAATAACCTGAGCACCCACATGCATGCACACACGTGCGTGTCCACACACACGGAAAGCACCCTAGGCACACGTGTGTTTCAGGCTGTCGCTCGCACGGGTGCACACGTGTCTCTTGTGGCGTGATGCTGCTGCCTTGGTGGTGTGTGAGGCACGGGGTGTTCATTTGTGAGATCAGAGCTCTGGTGCAGCCAGCTCCGAGGCACCTCCTGCTGTGAGAACTGGCCACGGACCACAGTGAAAGTGAGGCGCACATTGCCGATGGAGCGGACGTTCGCGCCTTCACAGCGAAGCCTCTGGAACGCCTTACTGGAAGGGACACAGTGGAGACTTACCGCTGCACCTGATTATTTTGACTTTTTAATATCAATTTTTAGAGATACAGTGCCACCATGCCCGGCTCATTCCTTTATTTTTTGTAGAGACAAGTTTTCACCATATCGCTCAGGCTGGTCTCAAGCGACCCTCCCCCCTGGGCCTCCCAAGCGTGGGGGTTCCAGGCATGAGCCCCGCACCCGGCCGGTGCCCCATTCTGAATTAAACTGTTGGAAATAAGCTGCGGTGATGATGGGCTGGCTTCTGCTCACAGGCGTCCTGGCTCTGGGGCCTGTGCCCGTGGTGAAGTCTTCTCTGCTTGTGTTGCAGGGAAGGTGGCCATCCAGAAGGAGGACTTGCAGAAGTACCACAACAGGGACACCTGGTTCCAGCTGCAGCACGTGGACGCTGACTCGGAAGTGCAGGTGAGACTCTCGGCGCAGCCCCGGAAACCAGAGCCCTGGGACACCATGGGGCTTCGAGACGGGCCCGGCTCCGACTGTGGCTAAAGACGTAGATCGGGCTTCGGCCTTGACTGGGAATAACGATGAGCAGATTGCGTGTTCGCCCACTTGTGCTCGGAGTGAGCGCGGGCTCCGCCATGGATTTTGGGTTGTGCGTGTTCGCCTGCTTGTGCTCGGAGTGAGCGCAGGCTCTGCCATGGATTTTGGGTTGTGCATGTTCGCCCGCTTGTGCTCGGAGTGAGCGCGGGCTCCGCGTGTGGATTTTGGGTTGTGCGTGTTTGCCTGCTTGTGCTCGGAGTGAGCGCAGGCTCTGCCATGGATTTTGGGTTGTGCGTGTTCGCCCGCTTGTGCTCGGAGTGAGCGCGGGCTCCGCCATGGATTTTGGGTTGTGCGTGTTCGCCCGCTTGTGCTCGGAGTGAGCGCGGGCTCCGCCATGGATTTTGGGTTGTGCGTGTTCGCCCGCTTGTGCTCGGAGTGAGCGCGGTCTCTGCCATGGATTTTGGGTTGTGCGTGTTCGCCCGCTTGTGCTCGGAGTGAGCGCGGTCTCTGCCATGGATTTTGGGTTGTGCGTGTTCGCCCGCTTGTGCTCGGAGTGAGCGCGGTCTCTGCCATGGATTTTGGGTTGTGCGTGTTCGCCCGCTTGTGCTCGGAGTGAGCGCGGTCTCTGCCATGGATTTTGGGTTGGGCGTGTTCACCCGCTTGTGGTCGGAGTGAGCGCAGGCTCTGTCATGGATTTTGCATTGTGTCTGTTCGCCCACTTGTGCTCGGAGTGAGCCTGGGCTCCGTGCATGGATTTTGGGTTTTCCCTTTGCCTACTGCCGCCCTTTGTCATGCACAACTGAGGAAGCTGTGAAAACAAACACGGTGGGAAAGGACAGGCACGCGTCATTGAGGCCCAAGAGAAAACATGGGTGGGGAAGGGCCGAGCCAGGGTCAGCCCTCAGGGACCCTCACTTCCCCACGGTTGGCTGGGCGGGCTGTTGCCTGGCACGCGGCACCAAGAAGGGTCTGAGCTGAAAGAGCGTTCTGGTCTCCCGTGTCCATTGTCGAAAGTGGCCAGGGGCTCACCCTGGCTTGCCGGGACTGTGTGCTGACTGGGGCTCACCCCGGTCCTGTCCAGTGGGGGGAGCTTGTCCCACCTCCCCACGCAAGACCGGGGGCTCCAGTGCTGGGGCCCATGTCCCAGACCCTTGTGTTCACAGCTGCTCACGGACGCACGGTGCCCAGCTGCCCGGCAACAGCTGCTCCAGGCTTGCCTGTAACAGAGGGAGCAGTGGGGGTCAGTCCACCGGAGCCCAAGCCTGCACCAGCTCCTGTGGGGTCACCCTGAGCCCTGGTCTGTGACACAGAGCAGCTGCAAAGGCCACAAGCAAGAGGCACCGTGGCCCAACCCTGGGACGTGGGAGGGTTTCCCAAGTGGGTCCTCAGCTGGGACCACAGTAAGTGTCTGAGTGTAGGGTTGCGGCACAGGGTCCCTGGGACACCGGACGGCTTCCTGGGTCCTCAGCTGGGACCGCAGTGAGCGTCTGAGTGTAGGGTTGTGGCACAGCGCCCTTGGGACGCGGGAGGGCTTCCTGGGTCCTCAGTTGGGACCGCAGTGAGTGTCTGAGTGTAGGGTTGCTGCACAGCGTCCCTGGGACACAGGAGGGCTTCCTGGGTCCTCAGCTGGGACCGCAGTGAGTGTCTGAGTGTAGTGTTGCTGCACAGCGGCCCTGGGACGTAGGAGGGTGAGTGTCTGAGTATGGGGTTGCAGCACAGCGGCCCTGGGATGTGGGAGGGCTTCCTGGGTCCTCAGCTGGTACCACAGTGTGTGTCTGAGTGCAGAGTCCCAGCACAGGCCGCCAGGCTCGGAGCCAGCTCCCTCATCGGATTGTTGCCAACGTCCTTTGCAGGCCTCAGTTTTCCCATCTGGGTGGGTTTGTGAAGCGTGCTGGTATGGCGTGTGTGCCACTCGAAGGCACCTGGCGCATCGTAAATTGGTGGCTGTGATGGTTATTTTTACACCTGGAGGCTGGCATCCTGGACAAATCCCCAAAATAGGTTCCTTGTGAGGACTTCGCCTGAGACTTCAGCAGAGGCAACTGGGTGGGTCGGATGGAGGCTCTGTGCCCGCAAGTTCAGGGCAAATTTGGGCTGGGGGACTGGATGGCCTGGTGTCCTCTGGGAACCCTTGTCCCCCGGCAACCCTCATCCTCCTGGAACCCTCATCCCTCGGGAACCCTCGTCCTCTGGGAACCCTCGTCCTCTGGGAACCGTCTTGCCCTGGCAACCCTCATCCTCTGCGCTTCACTGGGTCAAGGTTGCCATTTGCCAAGGTCATGAGCTGTGCACACGCCCATGGCCAGCAAAGGGTTCATTCATGAAGTTGACCATGAGCCCAGCTGTGGGGGTGGGGTGAGGCCCTTGACGGAAATTAAGGAGTGGAGCCAAGAAGCCCTGGGGATGGCCCTGCCCCAAGGGACCTGTGCTAATTGTGCGTCACACTTAATTAACTCTGCTTCCTGGGAAAGCACTGGCTGGGGAACCCACACGTGCTGTGGAAAGTGAAGGACGCTGTGATTACTGCAGAACTAATGACTGTCCTCGCATCCCCGGAGCACAAGGGCCCCAGCGTGCTGCTCCCACGGACCTTGGCGTCCCGGCAGAAAGGCGGGGTTTCCCACGTGCTGCCCGGGAGACGGGGCTTGGTGACTGGGCCGCTCCCGCCTGCGTGTCGGCGAGTTCCCCAGCTCTTCTATTCTGGGATACCCGCCGTCGCTGGGGTCTCCGTCACAACGGCCTCTGAGCAGCTGGCAGAGTGCGGCCTCGTCGTTTGCCTCGGATTCAAGTTTGGTTTTATTGGCAGGTGTAGCTTTTCCTCTTTCTTGCCTTTTTTTTTTTTTTACTGATTTAATTTTGAAATGGTTATAGATCTATAGGAAGGCATCAAAACAGTACACAGGAGTGGCGAGGGGCGAATTCCCACCTTTCCCTGAAAACGGAAGGCCGTGCTCCCTTCTCCCGGCTCCCCCGAACGGAAGGCCGTGCTCCCTTCTCCCGGCTCCCCCGAACGGACGGCCGTGCTCCCTTCTCCTGGCTTCCCCAAACAGAAGGCTGTGCTCCCTTCTCCCGGCTTCCCCAGGCACTGCCATGCGCAGCTGGTGCAACGTCAACCAGGACGCCGACGTTTGTGCAGTCCACGGATGTTATCCAGATTTCACCAGTTCACAGGCACGTGTTTCTGTGTGTGTCTCTCTGTGTATTCTATGCTATTTTTTCCAGTTTTTTATGTGGTAAAACAGAGACATGAAATTTACCATTTTAACCATTTAAAATGTCCAATTCAGTGGTATAGCATTGAATATATTCATAATATTGTATAACCGTCACCACCACCCATCTCTAGAGCTCCTTTCATCTTGCAAAACGGAACCTCCGTCCCCTCTGTCCCCTGGCTAGAGTTTTATTCACACGCTCCCGTCCGCCCCTTCCCCACCGGCAGCCCCATGGCACTCTGTCTCTGACGCAGGCCACTCCCCGTGGCTCATGGGAGTGAGCTCTACCCTGCTGGTCTTTCTGAGGCTAATGTCGCTCTGCGTGACATCCTCCGGGTCGCTTGTGGTATCAGAACCTCCTTCCTTCCAAGGCTGAGGAATGGTCCGAGGTGCGAAGCGTGTGCTGTTGCTCCAGTCACCTGCCGATGGGCTGTTGTGACAGTCGGTGCAACTTCATCACAGGGTAGATAGTGTAACCACCATGACGATCAGGACTCAGACGTTGCATCTCCACAAAGCTGTAAATAAGAATGCCGCAGGTTGATCTCACAGCTGGTGGAATCTCATAATTAACGCCCGAGGCTGCGTACCCGTGGCCAAGCCCAGCGTCCTCCAAGCCTGACTCTCACTGTCCGGAACATGAGGATCCTGAACCGAGTGGTGTCAGTCTCCCGGGAATTTGCACTTTATGGAAGGCAAATGCGAGCTGTTGTCTAAAAGGGAGGAGGCAAGGTCATTGCTCTCCAATGCCCGCTGCTCTCCAATGCGTTGCTTCACTGATGCAGTCAGCCCCAACGCCGCCCAAAACGTAGCGTGACAGGGAGCAGTGGCCCTGCTGGACTCCAGCCAACCTTTAAAACCTCAACTCCAGGCTGGGCGCGGTGGCTCATGCTTGTAATTCCAGCACTTTGGGAGGCCGAGGCGGGTGGATCACCTGAGGTCAGGTGTTTGAGACCAGCCTGACCAACATGGTGAAACCCCGTCTCTACTGAAAATACAAAATTAGCCGGGCGTGGTGGCGCATGCCTGTAATCCCAGCTACTCCGGAGGTTGAGGCAGGAGAATCGCTTGAACCCGGGAGGCGGAGGTTGCTGTGAGCTGAGATCGCGCCATTGCACTCCAGCCTGGGCAACAAGAGTGAAACTCCATCTCAAAAAAAGAAGAAGAAGAAGAAAAAAAACCCCACAACTCCAGTCTCAGGAGCCGCCGTTTCATCATAAGATGTCACAGTGACCATTTTCAGGAAGGCAGGGGGTAGCCATGTGGCTCCATGAGTCCCTCCGCTCTGTGATTCCCAGGAACAGTCCTGTGTCCGGACAGCGAGTGTCACAGAAGCAGCCCATGGGGGAGGCCAGCAAGTGAGTCACAGAAATGGGGGAAACACAATTAAACCTTTCTTGCTTCCTTCTGGAACGGCCACTGTTGGAAAGTCTTTGTTAAATCACTTTATTATGCAGAGTTGTGCTCTCTGACCCTCCCCTGATGCAGGGCCAGCGGGGGAGACGCCAGCGTCAGATGCCAGTGGGGGAGATGCCAGCGTCAGATGCCAGCGAGGGCACCGCCTGTGACAGCGAGGCATCCGCGGTGATCTGGGCGCCTGGGGGTCACTGAGCTCCGTTTATAAACCAGGCTTTCAAGTGCATCTGTGACGTATTCAGAAAATAGCACAGCCCTGCAGGGGATCACAGCAAACCCCTGGGTCTGCCATCCGCCCAAGAGACACCTACGTGTTTCCCCCTTGGAGCCTTCCAGTTGCACCGTGAAATCTCACTGGGCTGGAAATTCCAGCCTCCTGCTACAGCCTCTGGGAATTTTGTGTTTGTGCAGCAGACAGTCCTCTTGGAAGGATTTTCGGAGCAAACAAAGTCACCGTCCGTCGTCAAGCTTTCACATCTCTCCAGGGTTGTAAGAGGAGACGGCCGAGGCTGGGCTTCCTTCCTCATGGCCTCTGCATCCTGTCTCATCTGCCCGCGGACTTCGTCTCCTCTCTGCGGCCGGCGTGGAACAGTCCTGCATCCAAGGCACCTCTGTCCTGGCTGCTCTCTGGGCCGCTGCCCGCTCAGTGGGGGACACGGCAACCGGTGGGTGGGGCCAGGACCCTGACCCGGCTCTGCGCGCTGCTCTCTCCCTGGGGAAGGCCTTCCTGAGAAAGATGGATAGGGACCATTGGCTGCTTTTTAAAAATTAATTAACTCTGTTTTGGGGGCAGTTCTGTGTTCACAGGGAAATTGAGCAGAGTACAGAGTTTCCATACACCCCTCAGCAGCCCCCGCCCAGGGCCCCATGGGTGACACTGCAGCCACACGTTGTCAGGAGCTGGACGCTGGGGCCCCTTTGCTGCGTCTGTGAGTTCGCAGGAGTGCAGCGCCAGGGACCTCAGTGCAGCGTCCAGGCAGGTGCCAGGGTCGGCAGCCAGGTCCTCTCGTTCCTTTCCTGTGGGAATTTGTGCCTTTTCCCTTTTGCTCTTAGTAGCCTGGTTTGAGGTTTATTAATTTTATTGATCTCTCAAGGAATTTGCCGTTGGCTTTGATTTTTACCTATTGGTTTCCGATCTGACTTCTGTTTTCTGTTCTTGGGCTCTGGGTTTAGTTTACTCATTTTTCTCAGTCTCCCAGCTCTAAGCTCAGGTCAGCGTTCAGATCTCCCTTCTGCTCTAAGCTCAGGTCAGCGTTCAGATCTCCCTTCTGCTCTAAGCTCAGGTCAGCGTTCAGCTCTCCCTTCTGCTCTAAGCTCAGGTCAGCGTTCAGATCTCCCTTCTGCTCTAAGCTCAGGTCAGCGTTCAGATCTCCCTTCTGCTCTAAGCTCAGGTCAGCGTTCAGATCTCCCTTCTGCTCTAGTCTGTGTGGCCGGCACTCCAGATTCCCCTCCACCCCGAGCACGGCTCCCGCTTCATCCCACTGATTTTGATGAGTAACACTTTCATTTCTGTTTATTCCGGAACATTTTAAAATTTGTCTTGCGTTCTCTGATCTGTGTGTTATTTAGAACTGTGTTGTTTAACCTCTAAATGTCTGGGATTCTCCAGCCTGCGCCAGCACCTGCAGATTTACTCATTGGCTTTTCTGGCAGGAGAAAGGGCCTTCCAGGGGTGGGTTTTGTTTGTTCCCACTCCTGAATCAGCAGAAGACGAAAGCACACAAGTCAGCTGGTCAGGAGGGATTCATGCTGCAGGAACAGGAGCAGCCTCAGGACCTGATGGTGACCAGCCAGGTGCCCCTGGACCCGGCCAGGAGCCGGGAGAGCACACGGGGGCCGCACAGCCTGCTGCCAGGGGCCGGGAGAGCACACGGGGGCCACACAGCCTGCTGCTGGGGACCAGGACCCCCCACATGCAGTCGTGACTCTTCCTGAAGCTCCCGAATGTGAATAGAGCTACCTCCGTCTGCACAGCCTTGCAAATCTGAACGCTTCTGTCCTGAGAGAGTTTGCGCCCGGCATTTGAGAACGGGGATGAAGCAGTGGGGATTCTTGGTTATTCTTGGGTCAGGCACTTTCTCCTGTCTTTGGTGGTCAGGCCACTCCTTTAGCCCGTGGATAGCCACGGATAGCAGGCCCAGTGCCCGGCTGGTGTTCAGGGCACTCCTTTAGCCCGTGGATAGCCACGGATAGCAGGCCCACTGCCCGGCTGGTGTTCAGGGCACTCCTTTAGCCCATGGATAGCCACGGATAGCAGGCCCGCTGCCAGGCGGTGAGGACCACAGGCGATACTCCGCTCAGCCCTGAGCTCTGATGGGTGTGGGAAGAGGAGCTGTGGTCTTGGTGGGGTCTTTGTTGTCATTTTAGGCACCTGTTTTCCCCGCCCACAGTGCTGGCGTGGGGTTCATGCCCACCTTCCCGGCCCAACATCCTTGTGGCCCCTCAGGACCTGCTCTGGGGCTGCAGCCACAGGGCGGGAAGGCCACACCCAACCTCCAGACCCCAGAGTCTCAGGACAGCAGCGGAGGCCCCACCTCCCACACCTGCCTGGGCAGCACAGACCCAGTTCCATTCCCCCTGTGAGCGCTGGGTCAAGTGTGGGGGTGCCGTGGGGCGTGGTGTCAGTGTGGGGGTGCCGTGGAACGTGGTGTCAAGTGTGGGGGTTCCGTGGGGCGTGGTGTCAAGTGTGGGGGTGCCGTGGAACGTGGTATGAAGTGTGGGGTGCCGTGGAACGTGGTGTCAGTGCGGGGGTGCCGTGGGGCGTGGTGTCAGTGTGGGGGTGCCGTGGGGCGTGGTGTCAGTGTGGGGGTGCCGTGGGGCGTGGTGTCAGTGTGGGGGTGCCGTGGGGCGTGGTGTCAGTGTGGGGGTGCCGTGGAACATGGTATGAAGTGTGGGGGTGCCATGGAACGTGGTGTCAAGTGTAGGGGTGCTGTGGGGTGTGGTGTCAGTGTGGGGGTGCCGTGGAACGTGGTATCAAGTGTGGGGGTGCCGTGGGGCGTGTTGTCAGTGTGGGGGTGCCATGGAACGTGGTGTCAAGTGTGGGGGTGCCGTGGAACGTGGTGTCAAGTGTGGGGGTGCTGTGGGGCGTGGTGTCAGTGTGGGGGTGCCGTGGGGCGTGGTGTCAGTGTGGGGGTGCCGTGGGGTGTGGTGTCAGTGCGGGGGTTCCGTGGAACGTGGTGTCAAGTGTGGGGGTGCTGTGGGGCATGGTATCAAGTGTGGGGGTGCTGTGGGGTGTGGTGTCAGTGTGGGGGTGCCGTGGAACGTGGTATCAAGTGTGGGGGTGCCGTGGAACATGGTATCAAGTGTGGGGGTGCTTTGGGGTGTGGTGTCAGTGTGGGGGTGCCGTGGAACGTGGTGTCAAGTGTGGGGGTGCTGTGGGGCATGGTATCAAGTGTGGGGGTGCTGTGGGGTGTGGTGTCAGTGTGGGGGTGCCGTGGAACGTGGTATCAAGTGTGGGGGTGCCGTGGGGCGTGGTGTCAGTGTGGGGGTGCCGTGGGGCGTGGTGTCAGTGTGGGGGTGCCGTGGGGCGTGGTGTCAGTGTGGGGGTGCCATGGAACGTGGTGTCAAGTGTAGGGGTGCCGTGGGACGTGTTGTCAGTGTGGGGGTGCCGTGGAACGTGGTGCCAAGTGTGGGGGTGCCGTGGGGCATAGTATCAAGTGTGGGGGTGCCGTGGGGCTGCACCGACGCGGTGTCAAGTGAGGGCTGAAGGGCTTTATGTTCCACTCCCTGACCAGGGGCTTCGGGGTGTGCACCCTGGCAGGGCAGGCTGCGCCCACGACCCAGGCACCCCGAGGGTTCACAGGCAAGGGTTTCAGAAGGTGGGGAGGCTGAGGTTGTGGCAAAGTCATAAATCAGTACATGGAGGCCGTATGTCAGTTTGACCTGAGAAGGCAGACATCACGACGTGTGGCCCATGGGTCGGATATAGAGCGTTTTTGATTTGTGATTGGTTAAGGAGGAGAAGCTTTGTCCAAACAATTGAGATCAGCAGAAAAGAATGTTGGCTCTGGCCCACAGGCATGACCCCTCCTGGCCCCTGAGGAAGAAATTCAGAATAGAGCCGGGTTCAGGGTTCGGGCCTGTGATCCCCCCTGCATTTGTGGTCTGTGTTGGTAGATCTGTTTGGTGAGGGTCTCGGTTTTTGAAAAACAATTTAGGGACATATGTTAAGATGCTATTTTTAACTTGTATAGGGAATAAATATCTCCTGACTAATTTTTTGGCTATTATTTTATTATTTATTTTGCTTGTTAGGTGATTTACCACTCAAGGCTGGCTAGGTGTCTGATATATTTTTGAAGGAACTCGAAGGTTTTTTAATCATTTAGGTGGGTGGGGCCTAAGCGAGGTCCCTGCTCCATCCGAGGTTCTGCACCAGGCCACGTGCTGCAGGGCTGCTGTCGGTTCTGCCGTCCACGTCTTAGCGCCAGGCATTCTGCCCGTCTGTCCCACCCTCCCACAGGCAGGGACAAGCCCTGGGGAACACGCCTTGGCCTTCCCGGAGCCTCAGGAGCTAGAGCTAAGGGCCGGGCCAGGCAGAGCCCCTGAAGCATGGATGAGTCTGTGTTTATCCCATCCATTCATTGCCATTCAGGCTGGAGCAAATACAGGGACAGCGGCACACACAGGTAGGCACACATAGCCGCACACACACACAGGTGGACACAGTCACACATACACACAGGCGGTGCACACACAGGCAGACATGCACACACAGTCGCATGTACAGACAGGCGGACAAACACACATACACAGGTGGACACACAGCCACGCGCACAGACAGGCAGACACAGTCGCGCACACACACAGAAGGACATGCACACAGCCACACACTACAGACAGGTAGACACACACAGAGTTGCATGCACATACAGGCAGATGCACACACAGCTGCTTGCACACAGACAGACATGCACACATAGTCGCACACACACACAGAAGGACACACACAGCCAAACACACAGACAGGCAGATGCACATACAGACAGGCAGACACCGACAGGCAGACACACACAGTTTCATGCAAACACAGGCAGACACACAGCCGTGTGCACACAGACGGACACGCACACACAATCGCACGCCCACACAGACACATAGCCACATGCACAGACAGGCAGACACACACAGCTGCATGCACACACAGGCGAACATGCACACAGGTGGACACATACAAGCAGATACACACAATCACATGCACACACAGGTAGACACACAGTCGCATGCACACAGGTGGACACAGCCACACACAGATGGACACACAGTTGCACGCACACAGGCAGACACACAGCCGCACACACAGGCGGACACACAGCTACACAGGCAGACACGCACACAGCAGCACAGATGGACACACATAGTCGCATGCATGCATAGGCAGACACACATAGACACACACAGTTGCACGCACACAGGTAGACACACAGCCGCACACACAGGAGGACACACAGCTGCACACACACAGCCAGATGCACAGACACAGGCGGACACACATACAGGTGGACATGCACACACAGCAGCATGCTCACATACACAGCTGCACACACAAACCGCACGCACACAGGCAGACACACAGTTGTACGCACAGACAGGTGGACACACACCCACAGCCGTGCACACAGACAGACAGGTGGATGGACACAGCAGCACACACAGACAGACTGATCTAGAGAGACAGGTGGACCCGCAGGGCAGCCTTGCTGTCTGCTCTGCTAGAAGCCCCCGTGAGCCTTGCTGTCTGTGTGAGTCTTGCCCTCTGTGTGAGTCTTGCTCTCTGTGTGAGTCTTGCCCTCTGTGTGAGTCTTGCCCTCTGTGTGAGCCTTGCCCTCTGTGTGAGCCTTGCCCTCTGTGTGAGCCTTGCCCTCTGTGTGAGTCTTGCTCTCTGCGTGAGTCTTGCCTCCTGTGTGAGTCTTGCCCTCTGTGTGAGCCTTGCCCTCTGTGTGAGCTCTCCGAGGTTCCTGCGGGCCTCCATCCGGCCTCGCCCGAGGGGAGGTAAAGGCAGTGGCCCCTGCTTGGGAGACAGCTGTGCTTCCCCTCTGGTTTGTCCCGACGGACACACGAGCAGCCTGCAGCATCAGAGCCTTTGGGGGTCTGCTTCACTGAATGACCGTCTCCTACACGGTTGGACCCCTCACTTCTGAGGCAGCGACCTGCTCTCAGCAGAGCCAGGAGCCTGGGCAGCCACATGGGGCTGAGCAGTCAGGCAAGCAGCTCTCCTGGAGAAAGGCCACAGCTGGGACCCTGCGTCCCGGGGGTGGAGTGGAGGGGCTGGACGTGCCCATTGGCCAGGGCAGGGCGGGGCCGCCTGCTCCCTTTGCCCTCTAGGCTTTCCCTGGGCGCGCGGCCCTAGTGGCCTGTGGGAGCAGCGCCACAGCCTCTGACACCCCATCCTTGTGCCTTGCAGGGCAAAGTGCACCTGGAGCTGCGGCTGAGCGAGGTCATCACAGACACTGGGGTCGTCTGCCACAAGCTCGCCACACGGTAAGACACGTCCTCACTAGAGACCGAGCGCACAGCGAGTGGCATGTCTGGCTCCCGAGGAGCACACAGGGGTTTTCACACCAACGCACAAGAATTTCCAGAGCCGGTGGCTGCCCAGGATGACACTGTTTAGAGGTCCTGGCCCACCAGGATGATGCTGTTTTAGGGGTCCTGGCCCACCAGGATGACGCCATTTTAGAGGTCCTGGCCCCCAGGATGACGCCGTTTTAGAGGTCCTGGCCCACCAGGATGATGCTGTTTTAGAGGTCCTGGCCCCCAGGATGACGCCGTTTTAGAGGTCCTGGCCCCCAGGATGACGCCGTTTTAGAGGTCCTGGCCCCCAGGATGACGCCGTTTTAGAGGTCCTGGCCCCCAGGATGATGCCGTTTTAGAGGTCCTGGCCCCCAGGATGACGTCGTTTTAGAGGTCCTGGCCCCAGGATGATGCCGTTTTAGAGGTCCTGGCCCCAGGATGATGCCGTTTTAGAGGTCCTGGCCCCCAGGATGATGCCGTTTTAGAGGTCCTGGCCCCAGGATGATGCCGTTTTAGAGGTCCTGGCCCCAGGATGATGCCGTTTTAGAGGTCCTGGCCCCCAGGATGACGCCGTTTTAGAGGTCCTGGCCCACCAGGATGAAGCTGTTTTAGAGGTCCTGGCCCCCAGGATGACGTCGTTTTAGAGGTCCTGGCCCCAGGATGATGCCGTTTTAGAGGTCCTGGCCCCCAGGATGATGCCGTTTTAGAGGTCCTGGCCCCAGGATGATGCCGTTTTAGAGGTCCTGGCCTCCAGGATGATGCCGTTTTAGAGGTCCTGGCCCCAGGATGATGCCGTTTTAGAGGTCCTGGCCCCAGGATGATGCCGTTTTAGAGGTCCTGGCCCCAGGATGATGCCGTTTTAGAGGTCCTGGCCCCAGGATGACACTGTTTTAGAGGTCCTGGCCCCAGGATGATGCCGTTTTAGAGGTCCTGGCCCCCAGGATGATGCCGTTTTAGAGGTCCTGGCCCCAGGATGACGCCGTTTTAGAGGTCCTGGCCCCAGGATGACACTGTTTTAGAGGTCCTGGCCCCAGGATGATGCCGTTTTAGAGGTCCTGGCCCCAGGATGATGCCGTTTTAGAGGTCCTGGCCCCAGGATGACACTGTTTTAGAGGTCCTGGCCCCAGGATGATGCTGTTTTAGAGGTCCTGGCCCCCAGGATGATGCCGTTTTAGAGGTTGCCCCAGGATGATGCTGTTTTAGAAGTTCTGGCCCCCTTCCAGGATGACGCTGTTTTAGAGGTTCTGGGCCCCCAGGATGACGCTGTTTTAGAGGTCCTGGCTCCCAGATGACACTGTTTTAGGGGTCCTGGCTCCCAGATGACGCTGTTTTAGGGGTCCTGGCCCCCAGGATGATGCTGTTTTAGAGGTCTTAGCTCCCAGATGATGCTGTTTTAGGGGCCCTGGCCCCCAGGATGACACTGTTTTAGGGGTCCTGGCCCCCAGGATGACGCTGTTTTAGAGATCCTGGCTCCCAGATGACACTGTTTTAGGGGTCCTGGCTCCCAGATGATGCTGTTTTAGGGGTCCTGGCCCCCAGGATGACACTGTTTTAGGGGTCCTGCCCCCCGCCCCCCCGATGACGCTGCTTTAGATGTGCTGTCACACACTGCTGGCGTCCACGCTAAAGCACATGCTCACCTTAGAGGTGTTGTTTTGGGCTTTTGTGAATGGCCAGCGTGATTCAGCGTCACACCGAGGCAGAATGGCTGGTGTGGCCCTCCCTGCCTTCCGGTGAGGAAACCTCATCTCACAGCTTGAACTCAGGCCTCCTGCCTGACCCAGAGCTGTCTCGCCATTCGCCCAGGTGTCTGCGCTCCCTCCTGACGCCGCCTCTGCTTCTCTCCTCAGCATCGTCGAGTGCCAGGGCCTCCCCATCGTGAATGGGCAATGTGACCCCTACGCCACCGTGACGCTGGCAGGACCCTTCAGGCAAGTTGCCTCACGCTTCAGGTTTCTGTTCTGGTCCTGGGGGGCTAGGGTCCAGCTCTGAAATCACGAGACCACTGCCTCATTTGGGAGGAGTCAGGAGGTTGCGCTTTGAGGTAGAATGTGAATTTTTACTTCCTTTTGTTTTCTTTATTGCTCCAAAATTGCTTTGTAGAAAATGAAGCCTTCATGCTCTTCACGCTGGGTATTTTTGGCTGAGTAAAGGTTCCTGATTTGCATACCATCTGGAGTTGGAGACCAGCAGAAATATTTATAAAATAAATAAAGCCAATAAGTGACTTGTGCATTTGAGAGCTCGGTTTTACCACTGAGAGACTTGGAATCAGCAGTGTTGTTTTAATCCCAATCCTTTCTCACTTGATAACAGATCAGAAGCAAAGAAGACGAAAGTGAAGAGGAAGACCAACAATCCCCAGTTCGATGAAGTGTTTTATTTTGAGGTTGGTATCTTCATGGGTCAACGTTAAGTGGAAACTCTGCACCCGAGACACGTTGGCAGAAAGTCTGGATCCAGAATGATCTCAGTCTCTTCCCTCTGGAAGTTCCTTCCGGAGAGGAGCGAGCCCCGCCAGCCGGCCCTGGGTTCCTTCCGGAGAGGAGCGAGCCCCGCCGGCCGGCCCTGGGTTCCTTCCGGAGAGGAGCGAGCCCAGCCAGCCAGCCCTGGGGATTGGACCCGTGGCCACAGGACCTTCCCTCCTCTCCCAAGAGAGAAAGGTCATTCGTTGTCTCCCGAACTGGCCCAGATTTGAGTTAAAAGATGACAGATTAATGCTTTCCAAATTACCAGGACCTTGGGGGTTTTTGTTTTTTTGGCTGCTCTGCCCAAGCATCCCTGAGAGGCGGAAGGCTTGTTCCAGTGGAAATAGGCAGGGTTTTGAAACAAAGGGGAAAGGATTCAGACACAGAGATCCTCTCAGAACATGAAGCACCAAAATCCATGAAAAGGAGGGTGCAAGGGTGCACCTGGTGGAATGTGACCCCGTTTGGGATGGCTGCATCTCGTGGAGTGAGGACCTGCCATGTGGCCGGTGCGGTTTGGGGACAGCTGTGTGCAGGGCCTTTAGGCAGATGTTCTTCCCATCCACAAACATTCCGGTGCACAGGCCCTGGAGATGTGAGGATGGATGAGGCCTCTGTGGCAAGAGCATGGCCAGTCACATCTGAGGGGTCGGGCGGGCTCCCCTGAGCCATGATGGCTGAGTGGGGCTCGATGCATGCAGCTCTCAGGGGACCGTAGGAGAGTGGACCTACCGGTCAGTGGGTCCTGACTGAGTAGGACCCACTGGCACTGCTGAGGCTCGAAAGGGCCCCACAGGCAGAGGTGGGAACTTGGTGTCCAAAGCCAGGGCCAGGCTTTCAGGGCCACTGTGAGGAGGGCTTTAGAGGTGGAATCTGTTCTCTGTCTCAAACGGAAGCCTCACTTATAGACAGGCGGAGAAGATGGTTTTGCCAGAGCGAGGGAAGGCAGGGAGCTGCCAGGCTCCCAGGGGGAGGGTGGGCCCTGTTGGAGGTGCAGGAGGCATGCAGCATGGACCGAGTTCCAGGTGGCAGCTCCCCCCGCCTCGGCTGCTGGCTTGGCTGCCACACACAGAGCTGTCATACACACAGTGGGGTAGAGCTCGCCCACTGCCCGGCCACACACGGGTGCTCATCACGCTTGCAGTGTTCTCATGCTGTTTCTACTGTGTGCACTCCTGTTTCACTCTGTAAAGACGTGGGTCTCAGCCTACAGGAGCAATTTAGTGACCACAGACAGTCTGAAAACCATGGTCTGCGTCACCACCTGTGGGGCTCCAGGGAAGGCCCGGACCTCGCTGACCGCTGCTGTGTGGGACGCGCGGGGCCCTGCTCTTTGGGCTCTGTGACCTTTCACTCCGTCTCCTCCCCTTCCTTAGCAGACCTCTTTCACCAGGACTCTGTCTCTTTCGGCTTCAGCTGCTTCTGACCCAGCTGGAGGCTGAGCCCCGGGGAGGGAGCACATCCCCCGCGGGCTGTGGTCAGACAGCCACCTACTGGGAGCAGACCCAGGAAAACAGATGTTCCGTTTCTATGGGAAGCAGCGTCTGTACCATTTTCTTCCAGGATAACAACTAGACACATTAAGACCCTTTAACTCTCTAAATGAGATTAAATAATCTCATAAATTTGGTAGGAGCTGCCTTCATTCACTCAACACGTGTCAGGTGCCAGCACCGTGCTGGTGATCAGCTGGTGATAAGATGTGGCAGAAAACAGAGGAGTCCAAGGCCACCACACCAGGCCAGCATGGGAGGGATGCAAACAGACAAGCCCCTACAATAGCTCCCGACCTGCCCTGCAGAGAGGGCGTGAGGCAGGGGCACTGGGGGCTTCCTGGAGGAGGCATTGCCTGACCTGCCCTGCAGAGAGGGCATGAGGCAGGGGCACTGGGGGCTTCCTGGAGGAGGCATTGCCTGACCTGAGTTTTGTGAGATGGGGAAGTTGGGGGGAAGCAAATTTTTGGACAGTGGTGTGTAGGTCAGGAAGGAGGAGGCGTCAGCAGCCCTCAACCCGAAGCAGAGAACTGCCCCTGCGTGATCTTCACCTCAGTTTACCAATCAGGAAGTGCAAGCTCAGAGGTTAGGCAGTTTTAGCAACATGATTTTGGTGTCAAGCCTTACATCAGAACTTCGAGCTGAGAGCTCCTGAGCCAGCATCACTGCTGAGGCCCGGAGAAGGGGGGGCAGGGAGGGAGGCCGGGCAGGACGGAGCCCTTCTTGTAAACGCAGGTGACCTGGTGCACGGCTGATGGTGGTTAAATCGGAACTCCAGGTGATAACCACTGTCTCCTGGAGCCTGTGGGTCGGCCTCCTGCTCTGCTGCAAGGGCCCTGCTGGCTGGCGGGGGGCGGTCCCGGAGCCTCGACCCTTCACGCCTTCACTCCGTTTCTGTTCTAAGGAACCCACGGTGCGGAGGTGTCAGGAGGAAGGTAGCAGCGTCTTGACTTTCCACCGTCTGACCCTCCCTGGAGTGCTGGGGCCTGTTCGGGGCCGGCCAGGTTCAGGCTCCACAGACCTCACGCGTTTCACTTCCTGTTGGCAAATAGAGCCTTGAGGTGGGGCCACGGGAGGGCGGCGCTGGCTTCGTCTCCACGGCAGAGGGGACCCTCCCTCCCTCACGGGGTGGCAGGCCCAGAGCAGGCGCAGGTGACGGACATTTAGGTACCCAGAGCCCGGCACCCATCAGGAGCCACTGGGAGAGTCCGGCCGTGGCCGTGAACAGCCTTGGGGCAGGTCTCACCTGGGTCTGCCCCTCCAGGGGCGCCGTGAGTAGGAAATGCTGGCACTCAGGAAGCCAGGCCTGAATCCCGAATCCCGCCTGGCGCCTTCCTGGTTGTGGCCCTTGAGTGGTGTGTGGGTAAGCGCAGAGGGTAGGGCAGCCCGGGGCCTAGGTCCGCATATACCCCCGCCTGGTGGCACCGCGGTCTCAGCGCTTTCTCTCTCGTCTGACTCCAGGTGACCCGGCCCTGTAGCTACAGCAAGAAGTCCCACTTTGACTTTGAGGAGGAAGACGTGGACAAGCTCGAAATCAGGTGAGAAAACCAGGCTCCGCGTCCCCAACTTGGCAGTTTTCACCCAAACTCCTCAGCTCTTTTGTTCTTTGTTACTAAATATAGGGTCATAGATAGAAATGAATTTCCATTTTCTTGGTAATTTTCACAACAGGATGTTAGAAGTTGTAGTTGAAGTGACAGCCTGTGGGTGGTGTTAGGGCTCACCTTGCAATACCTGCGAAGAGGCGAAAGCCAGAGGTCCGCATCCCTCTGGCCGTAAGGCTTCATCCACCTGGAGTGACGGGGGCTGCAGCCGTTCTTAAGGTCTTGTTCTAAGCCCTCCGCCTTCCATGGGTTCAGGCCTCACTCAGAGGTCGCAGGGCCTGGCGGGTCAGCACGACGCCTGGCCCTGACCGAGCAGGACCCACTGGCACTGCTGAAACTCTCGGCTGGGTGGCCTCTGTGGAGACCCTGTCCCCTTTGACTCGAGTGAAACACTCTCACCTGGCGTCCTGGGTTCATGTTTCCTGTGTATGGTCATAGAAGCTGCATCTTCAGCCTTTGCCCATGGAGCCCCCACCGCCCTTTCCTGGCTCCTCAACGCCTCCCACGGGAAACGGGGAAATCGCTTGTGGGTTCACGCAGGTCAGGACGCGATCTCAGGCCCAGGATTTAGAGAGCCCCACGATCCCGCTGACTCAGAGTTCTGGGGAGGGCAGGCGTCAGAATGTGCCCTTCACAAACCCCGGCGGGTTCCCTCCTCCCAGTGAAAATAAGCTGGATTCCTGTTTATTTTTGAACGTAGCCTCTGTTCCTTCTGTACCAACGAATGCCTCCATTCCCTATGAAGAGGCAGATGAGCCTCCCCTGAAGCCCCCGAATCTTCCCATGCTGGACAGAGAAGGAAGGAAACGGCTCCCTCCTGACCCTCCCCAGCCGGCCCTGAGACCCCGAGCCTAGGATGCCCCCGAGCCTGGGATGCCCCCGAGCCTGGGATGTTCCCTGAGCCTGGGATGCCCCCAAGCCTGGGATGTTCCCCGAGCCTGGGATGTTCCCCGAGCCTGGGATGTCCCCGAGCCTGGGATGTCCCTGAGCCTGGGATGCACCTGCTTTCTTTAGGTCATTTTGGAGAATGTGCTGGCCATCAAATCCCTGGTCACCCTCCCTCCCAGGGGCTAACACTGCCCTGGGGGGACCCTTAATGGGACACGTGGAGCCGGTGCGTGGCTCAGGCCCTACGGCTGCTGGGAGGCGTGGTTTTGTGGTTGAGAACTGTAGGAATGTCCCTGATGTTATCGGTCAGATCCGTCCCCCATAGTTGTCTCCATCCTGAACCATAGAATGTCCCTGACGTGGTCAGTCAGATCCACCTCCTGAGGGGTCAGGGTCCTGAACCATAGAATGTCCCTGACGTGGTCGGTCAGATCTGCCTCCCCAGGGACTCACACCAGCCCCTTTTTCAAGAGAAGGAAGCGCCATTGTTGGTTTCTTTTTACACCAAGTTTTGAATTCAGGAGTGAAGTCCTAGTTATTAAATTTTTTAAAAGCACACAAAACATGTTTTAAATATTTCCCTTATTAAAGGCAAATGCGCCTGCCTGGCCACTCAGCACATTTTTTTAAAGTGTCCATGGGCAGATCAGCGGTCCCCTCATGTTCCTTCTGAAAGGAACGCGCTGTGGGTTCCTGTGCAGCCTGTCAGCCCTCCCCGGCCCAGATGCCAGTGCCTCTGTGGTGCCACTTCCCTGCAGGATTCGCAAGGGTAACAAAATCCCCAGCCTTCTGGAATCTTCTCCCTCCAGGGGGATGCCCCTGATGCCCACAGTGTGGTTAGGCCTGCCGAGTTTTAGCCCCCTGGGTAGGGCTGGCCACGTGTAACTGTGTGGTTTCAGGCCCGTGGGTAGGGCTGGCCACGCATGACTTCAGGTGTTTCAGGCCTATGAGTGGGTCCTGGCCATGAGGGACTGGGTTACCAGCCCTGTAGACTTGTTGCAGCCGGGGATGCTGTATGTCTGTCAGAATTTCACAGCCCCAGGTCTGAGGGGACACGTACCATCCCACACTAGGACAGAACATTAGTGGGAGCCGCTGCTGTGTTAGACATGAGCAGAAGCTTCACAATGCTGGGCCTGCGGTAGTCACGGAGATTCGTGGACCGTGCTGTGGTTTGTGGCCACAGTTCTCCCCCCGCTGTGGTGTGCATGGCCCCTGAATCCACTTTGTGCCCCTAGATCATGAGCAATCCATGGAGACAGGGTTCTACATTTGCCCGCCGTGCACAGACTGCTGGTGCTGGGCCTGTTGTGGGCAAAGGGGACAGATGGTGCTGGAGCTGAGAGTGGCAGCAGCCACATAGCTCCTGGGTGCACACAGCAACTCCTGGCTCCCTCCTGGCACAGAGCGACGCCTGGCTCCCTCCTGGCACAGAGCCTGGGGTCATGTAGCTCCTGGGTGCACGCAGCGACGCCCAGGCTCCCTCCTATGTAAGAGCCTGGGGTCATGTAGCTTCTGGGTGCACGCAGCGATGCCCAGGCTCCCTCCTATCTAAGAGCCTGGGTCTGAGTCCGGGCCCATGGCCTTCCGCCTTCCTCTGCCTGCCCATTACCACTGGGAGACACTCATCTTTATTCCAAAGCCACAGGCTGGTCTGACGTGTTTGAAACGTGCCCTGTGGGCTGAGCCTTGATGGAGACTCTGGGAGGCGCTGCAGGCTCCATTCTGCTCCTGGGGGAACAAAGCGTGGCCTGTCATCTTTGCTCCACACGGGCTGCCCGCCGTCAGCTAGAGCTGTCCTGATGCTGTTTTTCAGAGTTGACCTCTGGAATGCCAGTAACCTGAAGTTTGGAGATGAATTCCTGGGAGAACTAAGGATCCCGTTGAAAGTCCTGCGGCAGTCCAGCTCCTACGAGGCGTGGTAAGATGATGTTGCACCTGCAGACTTCCGCATCTCTGAGAGCCACAAAAACACGTGCTGCCTCTGAGTGGAAAGGCACAGAGGCCACATGTGCTGGTCCTCGGCTGTGCCCAGCACCCACCTGCTCTTACTTTGCATGTAGCTCTGACGAGCTCTGGCTTGATGAGTTTCTGCCCCACAGCAGGTGAGAAATGGCAGGTGAGGAGAGGCAGCAGGGATCACACTGAGCAGGGACTCACAATGGCTGGCACCTCAAAACAAGACAGGGAACGTGGGTGAAAGCGGCCCTAAGCCACGAGCAGCTCACGGGGTCTGATCCTGGGTGAAAGTGGGACCCTGAGCCGCGAGCAGCTCGCAGGGTCTGATCCTGGGCGAAAGTGGGACCCTGAGCTGTGAGCAGCTCGTGGGGTCTGATCCTGGGTGAAAGCGGGGCCCTGAGCCGCGAGCAGCTCGTGAGGTCTGACACCAGTAGGGGAGGGCATCAGCAGCCGGTGCAGGAGCCCAGAATGCGCACACAGCAGGGCTGCGCCGCGGCTGCGCTCCGGGTCTTGTTCTGGGCCCTCGGCAGCACCTCCTGTTGAGGGCGCATTACAGGGTTCTCTACTCCCCTCTGCACGTCTAGACCTCAGTGGTCGGCTCTGACCCAGAACCCACCCCAGGACATGTTGTGTGTTGCTGCCTCCTGCCTTTCTTTCCTGTTGTCTCCAGGTGCTTGGTGTTTTGGTGGAAGGAACAGGCCATTGTTTCATTTTATCTCCAGTTCATGTGTGTCCCTTAGCGACAGGCAGCTCCTGAGAGGGCCCGGAGTCACGGGAAGCGTGCACTCCCAGGCGTGGACTGTGTGCCGGGGCCTCGCACCCCATGTGTCCCTCTGCCATGTGTGAGGGCAGGTTTCCATCCCAGAAACCGTGAAACACGCGTGTCTTTTGATTCTACGAAGACGGCACGGGCACAGGCCCCCTGAGCTGAGTTAGGCTTCCTCCTATGCTGAATGAATCCCTGGCCCTGGTAGCCAAGGCAGCCACCACATACCCCAGAGAGCCCCAGGGTGCTAATGCCTCGCACACAGGCTCTACCTACCTGGGGCGATGGGGGGCGGCTAATGCCTCAGACACAGGCTCCACCCACCTGACCGGGGTTGCTAATGCCTCGGACACAGGCTCCACCCACCTGACAGGGCTGCTAATGCCTCGGACACAGGCTCCACCCACCTGGCGGGGGCTAATGCCTCGGACACAGGCTCCACCCACCTGACAGGGCTGCTAATGCCTCGGACACAGGCTCCACCCACCTGAGGGGGGCTAATGCCTCGGACACAGGCTCCACCCACCTGAGGGGGGCTAATGCCTCGGACACAGGCTCCACCCACCTGACAGGGCTGCTAATGCCTCGGACACAGGCTCCACCCACCTGGCGGGGGCTAATGCCTCGGACACAGGCTCCACCCACCTGGCGGGGGCTAATGCCTCGGACACAGGCTCCACCCACCTGACAGGGCTGCTAATGCCTCGGACACAGGCTCCACCCACCTGAGGGGGGCTAATGCCTCGGACACAGGCTCCACCCACCTGACAGGGCTGCTAATGCCTCGGACACAGGCTCCACCCACCTGAGGGGGGCTAATGCCTCGGACACAGGCTCCACCCACCTGACGGGGGCGCCAATGTCTCAGACACAGGCTCCACCCACCTGGCGGGGGCTAATGCCTCAGGCACAGGCTCTATCCATCTGAGGGGGGATCTAATGCCTCGGACACAGGCTCCACCTACCTGACAGGGGTGCTAATGTCTCGGACACGGGCTCCACCAACCTGACCGGGCTGCTAATGCTGCAGACAGGCTCCACCCACCTGACGGGGGCTAATGCCTTGGATACAGGCTCCACCCACCTGATGGGGGCGGGGCCTCGGACACAGGCTCCACCCACCTGAGAGCTTAGACTGCCTGGCCCACAAATGAGAGCAGAAGAGGGCTCCTGGGTGACTGCGTGGGGTAGAACCAAAGATGGAAGAATGTCCGGGCAGAAAACGTCTCTTACAATGACCAGGTGCCCAGGTGGCCTGCCAGGCTCACTAGCCCAAGGCCCCCACCCCGTGACATCGGGAGCCACGGCACACTTTGGTTGAGATAATTTTCATTTCCACCTGCTGCTGACACTGCTGGGTGTGGGTCTTAGGGCGGGTCACTGACCACTTCTGTGCCGGTTCCCGGAAACCCGTTCCTGCCACGTTCCACCCCCATCCCCCTCCGCGTTTCCCCCCTTGACTCCTGCGCCTTTGGCTCCAACACTTGCCTCCTGGGGATCCCCGGTGACCAGCCCTGCTGGGGGTCTTCGGTGGGGAGTCCCCAGGGGCTGCACTCTGAGGGGTCCTACAGGATCACCCTCCTGACCAGTCGACCTCAAGCAGGCAGCTGGGCTTCCCTGAGAGCTGCTCCTTGGCAGATGCAGCCTCATGCCTCCCCTCCATGTGTCCCTCCCACCCAGGTACTTCCTCCAGCCCCGGGACAATGGTAGCAAGAGCCTAAAGCCAGACGACCTGGGCTCCCTGCGGCTGAACGTGGTATACACGGAAGACCACGTGTTTTCTTCTGACTATTACAGCCCTCTGCGGGACCTGCTGTTGAAGTCTGCGGATGTGGAGGTGCTTGTCCACGCCGTGGCCTGTGGGTGTGGGCAGGAGGTGCCACCTGCCTGGGGCCCCACCCTACACCCGGGCCCACCCCAGAGGGCACCTTCTCCCTGAGGGGGCCTTTCCCACGCCTCCCAGCCTGGCCTGTTTCCCGTCCAGATGCCTGGACCCCTTTGCTGGGGGCACTGGTCCGTCGACAGTTAGAGCCGTGGGAGCCTGGTGATGCTAAGGACTCTCCGGGTTGTTCGAGGGGGACCCCATCATCAGAGTCCCTCTACCGGCTCAGGGGCCCTAGAGCTGGCTGCATGGGGGGGTCGCTAGAAGGAGGTGCAGATGCCCCTCCAAGGGTCCAGCCAAGCAGCAGCAAATGGGAAGTTTGGTGTTTTTGTGAATGTGTGTGTTTCTGTCTCAGCAAAGAGCCGTATCTATTGTGGCTGGAAGTGAGACCCCAGCCAAGGTGGGGACAGGCCTCTGGGGTTCCTGCACCCCGGGCCCTGGCACTGACCTCACCCCTCCCCGCAGCCCGTGTCAGCGTCTGCGGCCCACATCCTGGGCGAGGTTTGCCGGGAGAAGCAGGAGGCGGCCGTCCCGCTGGTGCGGCTCTTCCTACACTATGGCAGGGTGGTGCCATTCATCAGTGCCATCGCCAGCGCGGAGGTGAAGCGGACCCAGTGAGTGCCCACCCTGCCCCGGGGGAGAGCGGCCTGGACCCGCTACAGGGATGGCAAGGTCGTCGCCGAGAACCACGTGTCCTGGGGCAGGGCTTGAGGGAATTCAAGGGTCCCCAGAAACCATGTTGATTCAGGTTTTCTTTCACAGACCCAGTTAATGATTCTTTTTTTTTTTTTTGAAAGTCCCATTTGCCTTTGAAATCCCGGGTAGAGTGAGTGAGTGGGGAGGGGAAACGGCTCCTGGGGCTCGAGGACAGCTCAGGTCCCCTCCCTGGGGCACTTTGGGAGCCCACAAAAATGGAGCACAGCTTCCCTCAGGACCTGCCTAGTGCTGTTTCCGGACGCCCTGTTCTAGAAACATCTGGCTGCACCTGCAGCCACTGTAGCTGACAGGAGGGTTTGCTTCTCTGCTGGCCCTTGGATGCTGCCAGGGTCTGGTGCCCAACTCTCTGCACAGGCAGAGGCCGCAGAGGGGAGAGGGCGGGAGGGCGAAGGCCAGCCAGGCTCCTCCTGAGCTGGTGGCCACGCAGGTAGCCGAACGGTTCCCTCTGGCAGTGTTGACACAGGACGGTTCCATGGCCAGGGCCTCCAAGCACCTGGCCTGGTTGTGCTCCTTGTAAAATGTCAGGAAGCCGACTGATGGGCGTGCACTGACCTCACAGCCCACAGGCAGGTGCTCGGGGCCAGGCTCTGCTCCGTCTGCACTTCCGCGTCCCCAGGAGACAAACGCTGTCCCCATCGCCATTTCCCAGGGACCCCAACACCATCTTCCGAGGAAACTCACTGGCGTCCAAGTGCATCGACGAGACCATGAAGCTGGCGGGGATGCATTACCTGCATGTCACCCTGAAGCCCGCCATCGAGGAGGTGAGCACGGGGCCGAGAGTCCTCAGCCTCACGAGGCGTGGGGAGGATTTCCCCCAACAGAGGGCACTGCACTGGGATCCAGCCAGACCACGAGCTGGGCTTGAATGTCGGCCCCTCTGGCCTCGCCACGGGGATGCTGATTCATTCACTTTTATCAAGAGGATGTTCCCTGTGTACTCCAGAACCTTCCAAATTCTCCCAAATTAAAACTATACATAAGAAAATCCACCACTCCACAAAGGAGAACATGCAAGAAAAGCCTGGCTCTTCCCAGGGAGACCTTCTTTCTCCACATGTCCTGCAGTCCCCTGTGTTTGGGCCCTGGCTGCGTGGCATGTTTGAGCTGCACGCCCAGTCCTCACCCGACCCTCTGATGCCCGCACACCCACTCCTCACCTGACCCTCTGATGCCCGCCAGGCTGTGCCCCCCGTTTATGAGCGGGTTTGTAAACAGGTTCTTTGCAAATGTGAGAAAATTGAACATAGCATTCTGGTTTGCTCTGTGGGCAAAATCATGGCAGCATTTTGAAGTAAAAATATTATTAAAGCCCTGTGAGGCCTAGTCCGTGTGGGCTGGTGCACATCACTCCTGAGAAAGCCCGATTCGTCTGATCGCGGGCGCACATCGCTCCCTGAGAGAGCCCGGCTCGTCTGATCGCGGCCATGGACTGGGCCCCGTGCCTAGTGTTTGCGCCTGACCTCTCACTTGTCCCTCCGCAGCCAGTGACACAGGCCCAGGGTTGCCCCCTTGCAGCTGAGGCTCGGGACGACACCACCCCACGGTGGCCCTGCAGTCCGGCCTCACCGTGCCCCTCCGTGCCAGTGGCCGGGTTCGGGGAGCTGTCGTGGCATTTTCTGGATGAGGCTCAGGGTCTACATCTCAGCCAGGCCTGAGACCCCTTCCACCCTCCCTGCCTGTGCCCCCAGAACCCACTCACAGAGCCCTGTCTTAAACCTCTCCCCAGATATGCCAGAGCCACAAACCCTGTGAAATCGACCCTGTGAAGTTGAAAGACGGAGAAAACCTTGAAAACAACATGGTAGGTTTTGTTCATGAACCAACCAAAGCCAGTCACCTGCTTGGGGTTTTTCAGCCGATGGCTGCCTGGAAGCTCTGACTCACCCCGTGACCCCGGTTGGGGTGGGAGCAGGACCAGGCGTGGGGATACCCGCCTCACCCGGCTGCAGTACGCTGGCTGCACTACTGGGAGGCCTCAGCCACCACCTTTGGCCTGGCCTGTGTGCCGGGCTCTGCGTCCCCTGGGGGGTCCCGGCCAGCTCTTCCTCCCCTGGAGTGATCCGGTCTGCATGCCCCAGCTCTGCCCCCCCGGAGGGTCTGCCCTGCACACCCTGCTCTGCCTCCCCTGGACAATCCTGACCAGCTCTGCCTCCGCCCCGGCTCCTCCTTCCCTTGGGCAATGGCTCCTGCCCCTCCCTTTTCCTAGGACAGGATGGCCTCCCTGCCTCCCCAGGCTGTCCCCAGAGCTGTGTACTGCGTTTTAAAACAGCAAAACTCCCTGATGTTGAACTTGCTCCAACATTTTAGTCACTTCACATGATACTTCTTGCAGAGCGTGCTGTTTCGTCATTTCTGTATGTAAATGACAGAGCTCTTTGCCTTGGGCAGGCACATTCTAGTGAACGTCCATTCCCCACTCAGTAAACGAGGTCGGGGCCGAGCCGGGGAGCCGACGTGGTGCCTGTGTAGTGATTTTCACGCGTGAATTGCCACAGCTCCCAGCACAGATTTCCAGGGAGTGGCTGTTCACACGTGTCTCACTGCCGCAGCTGCCCTGCGCCCGCCCTCAGCCCCTCCCCACGCGCCCCTCCCTGGGCGTGCCCTGGTGCTACACGCACCTGTGGGCAGCCTCGGGAGTGGGTCCCAGTGCCGTGTCCCGTTGCAGGAGAACCTACGGCAGTATGTGGACCGCGTCTTCCACGCCATCACTGAGTCTGGGGTGAGCTGCCCGACCGTCATGTGTGACATCTTCTTCTCCCTCCGGGAGGCGGCGGCCAAGCGCTTCCAGGGTGAGTGCCCTGAACACCCTCATGTTGCTGAGAAACTGCCATAGCGCTGTGCAGGGTGACTCCCACCCAGGCAGAACCCCCCGCAGCCCTGGCTAGACTAGAACTGCGGGGTCGTGAACCCCAGTTCCGATGCTGGATTTTTCCGGGGTTTGTGCCCGGGCCAGTGTTCCCTAGTTCACAACCGCAGTGGTCTCTGGGGGACCCCAGCCCTGGAGTTCACCTCCACAGTAGTCTCCAGGGGACCCCAGCCCTGGAGATCACCACCGCAGTGGTCTCTAGAGGGGCCCAGCCCTGGAGTTCACGACCACAGTGGTCTCTGGGGGGGCCGGGAAGGGTGGCCAGGCTTTGTCGGGGTGGAATGTGAATTTTCCTGATGTGGACCCCTGGGTTTTCCCAGTGGTTTCTTTTTGTGGCCGACCCTGGCAGGGCCCAGAGTGGTGTTGGGGGCTCTGCCTGCCCGTGTCTTCGAAGAGACAGGACCCCTGGGGGAGCTGCCCTTTCTTCAAACCCCCAAGCCGGAGATCCCCTAGGGACCTGGGCATCCAGCACCCAAACCCCACTTCTCAACCTTGCCGACCCTCAGGGAGGAGCTGGGTGCCTGCACCCACCCATCACCTGCGATACTCAAGACCCCGCCAGGACTCAGGCTATGTATGGGGCGCTGAGAGGCTCAGCGAGGGCCTTGCTGCCGGCTCCTCTCTTCCTTGCGTGTCCTGTGGCCTCGGGACAGCTGCAGACACCCCGGGGTGGCCATGGTCCTGCAGAGCCGTCCACGCTTCTGTGTCCCCAGGAGACAAACGCTGTCCCCACCCCTGATTCTCAGGACATCAGACAGTCAGACAGCGCCGGCCGAGGGGCCCAGGGTTCTGGGGGAGGCAGTTCCCAAGCACATCCCAGCCCCAGACCCACTTTGAACAAGGTGGAAGTGAAGAGATAAAACACATCCTCTCACCCAGATGAGCACAGACCACTGTGGAATGAGACACCAAAGGGGCTGCGCTGTGTGGTGGTGATGAGAGATGGAGAGAAACAGGGAGAGATGGAGAGAGAGGCAGAGACAGAAGGAGAGAGACAGAGAGAGACAAGGAGAGAGAGAGAGAGACAGGGAGAGACGGAGAGAGAGGCAGAGACAGACGGAGAGAGAGGCAGAGACAGACGGAGAGAGAGATAGAGACGGAGAGAGAGAGATGGAGAGAGACAGAGACAGACGGAGAGAGATGGAGAGAGAGATCGAGACGGAGAGAGAGAGAGAGAGACAGAGAGATAGAGACAGGGAGAGAGAGACGGAGAGAGAGAGACAGAGAAAGAGAGAAAAAGAGAGAGACAGAGATAGGGAGAGAGACAGGGAGAGAGACAGAGAGATGGAGAGAGAGACAGACGGAGAGAAAGAGACGGGGAGAGAGAGATGGAGTTAGGGAGAGAGACAGAGAGGGAGAGAGACAGAGAGATGGAGAGAGAGAGAGAGAGCCAGAGACAGACGGACGGAGAGAGAGAGGGGGAGAGAGAGAGAGAGACAGAGATAGGGAGAGAGACAGGGAGAGGGACAAAGAGGGAGAGAGACAAAGAGATGGAGAGAGAGAGAGACAGATGGAGGGGGGGAGAGAGCCAGAGACGGAGAGAGAGAGAGAGAGACAGAGATAGGGAGAGAGACAGAGGGACAAAGAGAGGGAGAGAGACAGAGAGATGAGAGAGAGACAAATAGAGGGAGAGAGAGAGAGACAGAGATACGGAGAGAGACAGGGAGAGAGACAAAGGGGGAGAGACAGAGAGATGGAGAGAGAGAGGGAAACAGAGAGAGGGAGAGAGGGAAACAGAGAGAGGGAGAGAGACAGACACAGGTGGAGATAGAGCCAGGACTGTGGCTGGACTTCCCTGCGGACCCTCAGGGGGCCGGGGCATGGTGTCCCCACGAGGCCATTGTGCCCGAGGAAAACGGTCACCCTGCTTCTCTCTCCCGCAGATGACCCGGACGTCAGGTACACTGCAGTGAGCAGCTTCATCTTCCTGAGGTTCTTTGCGCCCGCCATTCTCTCCCCCAACCTCTTCCAGCTCACGCCGCACCACACGGTGAGTGACCGGCTGAGGGACCGAGGCTTTCTGAGCTGTCCTGCGACGCCGGCCTGGGTTGGGGCATCTGCGTGGCTGTAGGGGGCCGACCGTGTGGAGTGTGGAATGCGTGGGGAGTGTGTGAGGAATCAGGAGTGAGTGGGGAGTGTGTGTGGAATGAGGAGTGAGTGGGGAGTGTGTGTGGAATGGGGAGTGTTTGTGGAATGAGGAGTGTGTGGAGTGCGTGGACTGCGTGGGGAGTGTGGAAGGCATGTGGAATGGGGAGTGTGTGTGGAATGAGGAGTGAGTGGGGAGTGTGTGTGGAATGGGGAGTGTTTGTGGAATGAGGAGTGTGTGGAGTGCGTGGACTGCGTGGGGAGTGTGGAAGGCATGTGGAATGGGGAGTGTGTGTGGAATGAGTGAGTGGGGAGTGTGTGTGGAATGGGGAGTGTGTGTGGAATGAGGAGTGTGTGGAGTGCGTGGACAGTGTGTGGGGAGTGTGGAAGGCGTGTGGAATGGGGAGTGTGTGTGGAATGAGGAGTGAGTGGGGAGTGTGCGTGGAATGAGGAGTGTGTGTGGAATGGGGAGTGTGTGTGGAATGCATGGGGAGTGTGCATGGAATGAGGAGTGTGTGTGGAATGCGTGGGGAGTGTGTGTAATGAGTGAGTGGGGAGTGCGTTTGGAATGGGGAGTGTGTGTGGACGGTGCATGGGGAGTGGGGAGTGTGGAAGACGTGTGGAATGGGGAGTGTGTGTGGAGTGTGTGGACGGTGCACGGGGAGTGTGGAAGGTGTGTGGAATGGGGAGTGCGTGTGGAGTGTGTGTGGAGTGTGTGGACGGTGCGTGGGGAGTGCTGGTGGATGCGCTGGGTCCTGGAACGTCCTCGTTGCAGGTGGTTCACCGACCTATTTAAGCTGTGTACGTTCTGGGGGAGTCGAGACAGTGTCACAAAAGCAGTGGACGGTTTGTCCAGGGTTTTAGCTGCTGGTCACCGCCCTGCTCTCCTCCCCTGCCCATCACATATGGAGTATTGATGATCGGCGTATCATCCGTGTATTGAGTCAACAGATTCCTATTTAGCACTGATTTTCTCCAGGCCCCAATGTGGTTGCTGGGGCCGCAGCTCTCAGGGTACAGGGATCTGGGGTGACCGTGTTGCACGTGCGGGTGGCAGAGCTGGAAGGAGATGGCCAGGGCGAGAGGACGTGAGGGATTGCCCATTCCCCAGCACTTCTTTTTTTTTGAGACAGAGTCTTGCTCTGTCACCAGGCTGGCGTGCAGTGGTACCATCTCAGCTCACTGCAACCTCTGCCTCCTGGGTTCAAGCAATTCTCGTGCGTCAGCCTCCCTAGTAGCTTGGATTACAGACGTGCGCCACCACGCCCAGCTAATTTTGTATTTTTATTAGAGATGGGGTTTTACCATGTTGGCCAGGCTGGTCTCGAACTCCTGACCTCAAGTGATCTACCTGCCTCGGCCTCCCGAAGTGCTGGGATTACAGGCGTGAGCCACCAAGCCCGGCCCCCAGCACTTCTGAGTTGAACCTTCAAACCCTGTGAAGGCTGAGATGAGCCCCAGGCAGGGCCAGGAGACTCAGCACCCCGAGACTCAGCGCCCCAGAGCCATGACCCCACCTGATGCTTTCGACTTTGAGATGCACCCTGCACGCTGGGCCGAGAGAGTGGGTCACCGCGGTGCCGTCGGATGTTGCCTGCGGGATGGTCTCAGCAGCTCCTGAGACTGTGGGACGCCCACCCCCTCCAGTCCCATCTGCGTCGCTACCCCTGTTTCTCCGTAGCTCATGCACAAGCCACAGCAGCTCTGAGGTGACTCCTGCATTTCGTCCCCTCGATCTGGGACAGTCACAGCATTTCTGTGATGCTGACATAGACCTTTCTTGCTCCCGCCTCCCCAGGACCCCCAGACGTCCAGGACGCTGACATTGATCTCCAAGACCGTTCAGACCCTCGGCAGCCTGTCCAAGTCCAAATCTGTGAGTCCCTCTTCTTCATTTTCTCTTTTTAGGGACAACTGATTCTTTTCTCTCTTCAGAAAATACACGTGAAAAACCTCCCACATTTGAGAGAGTCGTAAGATAAAGATCAAGAATCAAAGCCGGCACCACATCCTCTCTTGAAACCCAGGACCTGAGCGTCCCCGTCCCGCTCACCTCTCCCCTCCTAAAGTGAACCCCTTGCCTTTTTCGGGAGCCTGTGGCTCGTCGCCGGCCCCGTGGCAGGAGCAGCATCTGACCTGTCAGGTGTGGGAAGCGGCTGAACAGGCCAGGCAGATGGCCTAACCTGGCGCCTCCTGGGCGTTGCGGTGCTGGAGGCTCCTCGTCACGCAGCCCCCTACTCCCCTCGCGGCCCCCTCCTCCCCACGCGGCCCCCTCCTCCCCACCTCCCCACGCGGCCCCCTCCTCCTCACATGGCCCCCTCCTCCCCATGCTGCACTACCTCCCCATGCAGCCCCCTCCTCCCCACTTCCCTCCCCACGCAGCCGCCTCCTCCCCACGTGGCGCTTCCTCCCCAAGCGGCCGCCTCCTCCCAACGTGGCGCTCCCCTCCCCACGCGGCCCCCTCCTCCCAGGGCCCCTCTCTCCCTGTGGATATGAACCTCCGTCCTCCATCCTCGTCCCTTCAGACTGGATCTGGTGCCACCAGGTCAGGAGTCCCTCAGGCATCTGCCCCATTTCCCCCTAAGAGCACCTTGTGTGTTTGAGGGGGTCAGAGCTGACGTTTGAGGCGTCCCGGGGGCAGTGCTCCTGGTGAGGCCCAAGGCTGTCTCTGCAGGGGCCAGGCCAGGGCAGTTCGATGCCTTCGGGCCCCCTCGGGGCTCCGTCTGGAGAGGGCTGGGCTGTGGTGCACAGATGCCCAGGCCTCCTGGTTCCCTGTTCTTGGTGGGGCCCAGGTAGAAATGAGGGCTTTGGGGAGCAGAGGCCCCCACTGGAGGAGCAGCCCGCTTGGGGCAAACGTTGGGTTTCTCTGAGTCCGAGTGAGTAAAAGATGTGCCACACTCGCAGGCAGGCCGAGGTGCACCGACCGCTCTTTCCCACCAGCCAGGCCCTGCGCTGTGGGCTGGAAACTCCATAACAGGCACTTGAGCCTCCTCCGAGGTCTGCACCAAACCCACCTCATTTCACAGCCAGGGAACTGTGCAGTGACCTCAGTGTGGAAACAACAGGAACTTGGGGTCGAGCCTCAGGAATGGTGGCTGCAAAGGCCCCCCCGAATCCCTGGGTGCCTCCACTTCCCCGTGTGATGGAGGTCCCTGCCCCCTCTTCCCACCTCAGAGCGGCCCTTATGCCCCACGGGCGAGAGATGGGCGTGGGGGCTCTGGGACCCTGGCCTATGACTCCAGGTTCCCAGGCAGCCACATCTGGGCCCCAACGTACCTCTTCATGAGCCTGGGACCCAGGTGTGAGGGACAGCCCGGGGCCAGGACGGAGTCACTGATGCCAAAGGGTGCTTGGAGACCTCACGGGCACTGGCAGGTCTGATGGTCTTCGTTGGCGCCTGAGCGATTTATGTGATTCGTCCTCCGGGCAGCCCTGCGGGCTCTCACTTGCCCGGTAACACCGGGTTCTTTGCCTGTTTATCGTCATTTAGGCTTGGACAGTTCTTGCCTCTAGCTTTTTCAGATTTGGGCCGTGAGCCGAGGTACTTCGGGCTGTCCTCGAGTGATCTCCGTTTCATTTTAGGCGAGTTTTAAGGAGTCCTACATGGCTACATTTTATGAATTCTTCAATGAGCAGAAATATGCTGATGCGGTGAAGAACGTAAGTATCGACTCACCCTCCGACCGCCCGTGTGCCGTGCTCAGGAGACGGAGTTCTCTTTTAAAATTGAGATAGAACCCACATGACACAGACTTGGCCATTAGCGATTTTAAACAATAAAGGCGTTCGGTGCATTCACAGCGCTGTCCAGACAGCCTTGTCCCAAGTCCTGGGACACCTCCTCCCACAGTTGGTAAACTCTTTGGCGTGACTGCCTTTGGGGCCAAAACGGGGCCCTCGCCCATCTTGTTCTGTGTCTGAGCCCCCCGAATGAGGGCGCGTCCCACCTCAGTGTGTGTGGTGGCCGGACTCACTCTAGGCTGCAGTCGTGGAGCCCTGGGGCTGCAGACTCAGTGTCAGGAACGCGGTGCGTGGGGAACATCCAGACCGCAGGGCTCTGCTCCTCCCCACAGTTAGGAACGCGGTGCGTGGGGAACATCCAGACCGCAGGGCTCTGCTCCTCCCCACAGTCAGGAACGCAGTGCGTGGGGAACATCCAGACCACAGGGCTCTGCTCCTCCCCACAGTCAGGAACGCGGTGCGTGGGGAACGTCCAGACCGCAGGGCTCTGCTCCTCCCCACAGTCAGGAACGCGGTGCGTGGGGAACGTCCAGACCGCAGGGCTCTGCTCCTCCCCACAGTCAGGAACGCGGTGCGTGGGGAACGTCCAGACCGCAGGGCTCTGCTCCTCCCCACAGTCAGGAACGCGGTGCGTGGGGAACGTCCAGACCGCAGGGCTCTGCTCCTCCCCACAGTCAGGAACGCGGTGCGTGGGGAACGTCCAGACCGCAGGGCTCTGCTCCTCCCCACAGTCAGGAACGCGGTGCGTGGGGGGAATATCCAGGCCCCAGGGCTCTGCTCCTCCCCACAGTCAGGAACGCGGTGCGTGGGGGCAACCTCCAGGCCCCAGGGCTCTGCTCCTCCCCACAGTCAGGAACGCGGTGCGTGGGGAACGTCCAGACCGCAGGGCTCTGCTCCTCCCCACAGTCAGGAACGCGGTGCGTGGGGAACGTCCAGACCGCAGGGCTCTGCTCCTCCCCACGGTCAGGAACGCGGTGTGTGGGGAACATCCAGACCGCAGGGCTCTGCTCCTCCCCACGGTCAGGAACGCGGTGCGTGGGGGGAATATCCAGGCCCCAGGGCTCTGCTCCTCCCCACAGTCAGGAACGCGGTGCGTGGGGGCAACCTCCAGGCCCCAGGGCTCTGCTCCTCCCCACAGTCAGGAACGCGGTGCGTGGGGGGAATATCCAGGCCCCAGGGCTCTGCTCCTCCCCACAGTCAGGAACGCGGTGCGTGGGGGCAACCTCCAGGCCCCAGGGCTCTGCTCCTCCCCACAGTCAGGAACGCGGTGCGTGGGGGGAATATCCAGGCCCCAGGGCTCTGCTCCTCCCCACAGTCAGGAACGCGGTGCGTGGGGGCAACCTCCAGGCCCCAGGGCTCTGCTCCTCCCCACAGTCAGGGATGCCTGAGCCTCCTCACTACCGGGACCCAGATTCCCTGCTTAGAGTCACCCCTGGGTGGCCTCTGGAGATGCAGGTTGATCCCCAGGTGTTGCCTGAGCCCGGCCTCTCACCTGAGATCTCTGTGGCAGTGCCGGGGCTGGGGTGGCACAGTGGGGAGCAGAGGCCCCACAGCCCTCGGGGAAGGACTCACTTGCCCAGATTCTGTCTCCACTGGTATTACAAAGGAGGCAGTAGCCGCCGACGCTGTTGTTATACAGAGAGCCGTGCACGTCAGATGTGTGGCTTCCTCCCGGTGACCTGATTTCTTCCAACTTTAGTTCTTGGATCTGATTTCGTCCTCGGGGAGAAGAGACCCCAAGAGTGTTGAGCAGCCCATCGTGCTTAAAGAAGGGTAAGGAGGGTAAGGTGGCGTCTGGCAGGGCAGGAGGGGAGAAGGGTAAGGTGGTGTCCAGCAGGGCAGGAGGGGAGAAGGGTAAGGTGGTGTCCGGCAGGGCAGGAGGGGAGAAGGGTAAGGTGGCGTCCAGCAGGGCAGGAGGGGAGAAGGGTAAGGTGGCGTCCGGCAGGGCAGGAGGGGGGAGAAGGGTAAGGTGGCGTCCGGCAGGGCAGGAGGGGAGAAGGGTAAGGTGGTGTCCGGCAGGGCAGGAGGGGGGCGGCAGGGCAGGAGGGGGGAGAAGGGTAAGGTGGCGTCCGGCAGGGCAGGAGGGGAGAAGGGTAAGGTGGCGTCCGGCAGGGCAGGAGGGGAGAAGGGTAAGGTGGTGTCCGGCAGGGCAGGAGTGGGGAGAAGGGTAAGGTGGTGTCCAGCAGGGCAGGAGGGGAGAAGGGTAAGGTGGCATCCGGCAGGGCAGGAGTGGGGAGAAGGGTAAGGTGGTGTCCGGCAGGGCAGGAGTGGGGAGAAGGGTAAGGTGGTGTCCAGCAGGGCAGGAGGGGAGAAGGGTAAGGTGGCATCCGGCAGGGCAGGAGTGGGGAGAAGGGTAAGGTGGCGTCCGGCAGGGCAGGAGGGGAGAAGGGTAAGGTGGTGTCCAGCAGGGCAGGAGGGGAGAAGGGTAAGGTGGCATCCGGCAGGGCAGGAGTGGGGAGAAGGGTAAGGTGGCGTCCGGCAGGGCAGGAGGGGAGAAGGGTAAGGTGGTGTCCAGCAGGGCAGGAGGGGAGAAGGGTAAGGTGGCATCCAGCAGGGCAGGAGTGGGGAGAAGGGTAAGGTGGCGTCCGGCAGGGCAGGAGGGGGGAGAAGGGTAAGGTGGCGTCCGGCAGGGCAGGAGGGGAGAAGGGTAAGGTGGTGTCCAGCAGGGCAGGAGGGGAGAAGGGTAAGGTGGCATCCGGCAGGGCAGGAGTGGGGAGAAGGGTAAGGTGGCGTCCAGCAGGGCAGGAGTGGGGAGAAGGGTAAGGTGGCGTCCGGCAGGGCAGGAGGGGGGAGAAGGGTAAGGTGGCGTCCGGCAGGGCAGGAGGGGAGAAGGGTAAGGTGGTGTCCAGCAGGGCAGGAGGGGAGAAGGGTAAGGTGGCATCCGGCAGGGCAGGAGTGGGGAGAAGGGTAAGGTGGCGTCCGGCAGGGCAGGAGTGGGGAGAAGGGTAAGGTGGCGTCCGGCAGGGCAGGAGGGGGGAGAAGGGTAAGGTGGCGTCCGGCAGGGCAGGAGGGGAGAAGGGTAAGGTGGTGTCCAGCAGGGCAGGAGGGGAGAAGGGTAAGGTGGCATCCGGCAGGGCAGGAGTGGGGAGAAGGGTAAGGTGGCGTCCGGCAGGGCAGGAGGGGAGAAGGGTAAGGTGGTGTCCAGCAGGGCAGGAGGGGAGAAGGGTAAGGTGGCATCCAGCAGGGCAGGAGTGGGGAGAAGGGTAAGGTGGCGTCCGGCAGGGCAGGAGGGGAGAAGGGTAAGGTGGCGTCCGGCAGGGCAGGAGGGGGGAGAAGGGTAAGGTGGCGTCCGGCAGGGCAGGAGGGGAGAAGGGTAAGGTGGCGTCCGGCAGGGCAGGAGGGGAGAAGGGTAAGGTGGCATCCAGCAGGGCAGGAGTGGGGAGAAGGGTAAGGTGGCGTCCGGCAGGGCAGGAGGGGGGAGAAGGGTAAGGTGGTGTCCGGCAGGGCAGGAGGGGAGAAGGGTAAGGTGGCGTCCGGCAGGGCAGGAGGGGAGAAGGGTAAGGTGGTGTCCGGCAGGGCAGGAGGGGGGAGAAGGGTAAGGTGGCATCCGGCAGGGCCGGAGGGGAGAAAGGGATGGGGGCCCCCAGTCCCCAGAGCACCCAGCACATTCCAGAAGATTCCCTAGTCGGGGGCAGCCTCCTCCCTTGCTGGCCAGCAGCCTTGTGATTTCTGTACCACTGGCCGTGTTGTCCACACCCGCACTTGGGGCTGGCCTTCCCTCCAGGCTCCCGAGGGCTCTTTGCTCAGGGAACCAGAGTCAGAGGGGACAGCCCTGGGGGTCTGGCCCCTGCGCCTTCAGCCTGGGACCCCTCTGCCACCTTCTCGGTGACCTTGGAGGGGGACGTCTGTGTCCCACAGCCACCCCGTGTTTCTGACACAGGCCTGTCCTCCCTCAACCTCCACCCAGAGGTCCCTGGAGCATCAGAGCCCATCAACCTTCCTTACATAACTGACACGTCTGCCCGTTTCCACCAACCCCGTCCTGTGGCCCGGCTCCCACTCCCGCTCGGGGCTTTGCTCTGCCTGGTGTGGACCATGTTCCTGTATTTTTTATGTGTTTGCCAACATGTCGGGCACAAGTGCAGTTGTATTGGATGGGGCTTCTCGTGAAACCGTCACCTGAACGGGCACTTTGTGCCCACTGAGTAATTTCTCATTCCTCTCCCGCTCCCACCTCCACCCTTCCGAGGCCTCAGTCTGTGATTCCGAATACGTGTCCCAGAGCGCCCCGCCCCTCCGTGTTTATCTCCTATGGACCAGTGAGAACATGGGGCGTTTGGCTTTTCGTCTCTGAGTCATCTCCCTTAAGATAACAACCTCTAGTTCCGTTCACGTTGCTGGAAAACATAAGATTTCCTTCCTCTTGATGGTGGAGTAGCATGTCGTGGTGTATTTATGCCACGTTTTCTTTATCCAGTCGTCCGTTGGTGGACACGTGGATTCCGTGTCTTTGCTGTTGTGAGTGGTTCAGCGGTAAACGTACGCATGCAGGTGTCTTTTTGGTAATTGCTCTTCCTTTGGGTGGGGCCTGGTGTGGGATTGCTGGATCGAATGGCAGCTCTGCCTTTAGCTTCTTGAGAAATCTCCGTGGGTTTCCTTAAGCGCTAATTTCCATTCCCCACAGCGTGCAAGCGCTCACGTCCTCCACAGCTCTGCAGCGTCTGTCATTTTTCCGTGTTTTATTTGATCCCAGCCATTCTGCCCGGCGTGAGCTGGGTTCAGGCGGCTCCATTCTGCCTGGCGTGAGCTGGGGTCGCAGGTGGCTTCGTTCTGCCTGGCGTGAGGTGGGGTCACAGGCAGCTCTGGCTCTCATTCCTCAGGTGATGAGCCACGCTGGGCTTTATATCGTATGCTTGTTGGCCATTTGTCTTCTGAAAAACGTCTATCCCCCTGTCCTTTGGCCACTTTTAAATTTTTTTTTAATTTTTATTTTTTTTGTTAAGTTGTTTGAGTTCCTTCTAAATTGTGGCTGTTAGTCCCCTGTTGGATCTGTGCTTTGCAAATATCCTCCCATTCTGCAGGTCGTCTGTTTGCTCTGTTGGTTATTTATTTTGCTGTGCAGAAGCTGTTTAGTTTAATTAAGTCCCATTTGTCTATTTTTGTGGATACTCTGTTAGAGCCATCTGCTGAAACCTGGATCATCTCTGGGTCACTGGTGGACCATACCCCAGTGGCATTACTTACATTGCTATTTTTCTTAAAATCACCTTCATTTAACTTAATCATATATTAACCAATAACATTTGCAATACACACATTTCATGTTAGAAATGCAAAATGTTTGTTCTTCGGTGCCATAAGGAAAAATTAGCATTTAGACAAAAAGTTCTTTCAGCGAGGCAATTTTTACTTTCTGCAGAAAGGGTGTCCCTGGCAGAAGGAGTAATGGCAAGGGCACACACAGAATAAAGAGACGCCAGAATATTTATTCCTTACGCACGAGGTTCCTGTTGTCGTGTCCTGTCCCCATTGCCTGGAGCCGGACCTCACAATCTAAATTAAGACCTGATTGGCTAATAATTTAAAACTTTTTTAAATAGGTAGAAAAATAATAATATGTTTAAATAAGGAAGGGGCATAGGCTGTGAGCTGGGACATGCCTATGAGTACGTCTAACACAATTGCCTTGGTTAAGGTACAAGGACACAGAATATATTACGAGCCTGTGGGCACGTCCAACAGCTACACAGGATAGAGCTTAACAAAGAGTTATTAGCACAAAGCAAGGAGGCTTGAAGGAAGTTAGTCTTTAAAAGAAACTATTATTTCTAACACTTATGATTTATTCTTTAACAAGAAGGGAAACTTTGAAGAGGAAACTTTTTACTTTCTACATTTCATAAATTCACAGCTTTCAAAGCAACAGATATTCATCCTGTAATCCCTAAAGCAACACAGGACACTCAGGGCTTGTGTGTCTGACGCCGAGAAGCTGCTGTAGATACAGGTTCAAGGACAGGCGCCTCCCAGGTGCCACCAGCCAGAGGTTCAAGGACAGGCGCCTCCCAGGTGCCCTGGATGCAGCTGAGGCTCCACCAGCTCCTTCCAGCAGCTGCACCACCTGCGACTCACACCAAGGTTTTGGTCCATCAGGCCCTCGAGTTTCCAGCCCCTGGATCAGCTTCTCCTCCGGCACCTCAGCTCTGTCACATCCCCAAACCTAGGGCCACCCTCGGTTGTGCAAGCATGGGCCGTCCTAGGGCCTCGGTTCTGCCATCTCAGCCCTTGGTGCCAAGTGTGTCTTGCCATGTTCGTCCATGTGTGGGGGTGGTGATGACCATGTTTCCTGAGGGCTCACCCTGTGCTGAGATGCTCCCACACCTCTGCCGTCTCTCAGGGCTGTGTGTGTCCTCACCCACTGGGACACAGGACTGGGGACGGGGCCTCTGCAGCGCAGCGTGTGTTTGCTGAGTTGAGTTGGCCGTGGCTGCGCGGGGCCGAGCTGCTTTCAGCCTGAGGCTTCCGGCTTAGCCGTGGCTCCTGCCTCCCCGTCCCACACGCGCGATGGGCCCGGTTAGAAAACCGACTCCTGGAGAGCCAGGCGCCCAGACCAGAGCTGTGCAGTGAGGAGCCACTGGCTTCTCTCCACTCAGTGCTGCCTTAACCTGGAAACTGCACATAAAATTCACATGCAGCCTCATCCACTGAAGGCCCTCAGAAAGTTGGGGTTCTTAAAAAAATCCTAAAGCCGAAAACATTTATAACAAGACTGCTACTCAAATCTAACTGCTACATGGTCCAGAGTCTTCTCAGAGGCGCCCTGTTGCCCTCAAGGAGGCCGGCATGTCGTGGAGCTCCCAGTCCCCCCCCAACCCCCGTCTGTGTAGGCCCCGCCCTGCGCATCCCACTGGGTCCTGCTGGTCCTCAACAGCCTCCTGGGCTGACTTCCTGCCTGTGAATCCCTGGAATGAACGGCGTTCGGCATCCACTGGTTGTGAACTGCGCTGTCCTGGCGGCTCCCAGCGCCCCGCCCTTTTCTCTCTTGAACAGCTCCCAGCAGCTTCCACACCCTCCGGTGTGCGTCCACAGCTCTCTGGCCACATCTGGCTGTGTTGCTGCTCAAAGCCCCTCTTTCCGATTTCTGAGTGCGCTTGTCGAGGTGCGTCTCCCCCGCCCACCTCCCCACTCTGTCTCTCCAGCTTGGCTTCTCGTCCTCAGCTTCCACCTCTGTCCTCCAGTCACTCTGTCTGGCCACTTTCTTCTCCTCCAGCTCGGCCGCCGGTTCTGGTCAGGGACCCCTGCCCGGCAATGAAGGCCGAGCCTCAGAGGGCCCTGGGCTGCCGGGAGGGTGTTCGAGGACCCTGCCCAGGGCAAGGCTTGAGGTCCTCCTCGCTGAGGCCTTGCATCCTCGGTGGCCATCCTGTCTCCTGCTCCCCACGTTTCCTGAGGACGTGGCCCAGTGGCGCCTTCTACCACAGCAGGGCTGGCCCTGAGGGGGCAGGTTTGGTCTGGCAGAGGCGCTGGTGCGTGACTCCCGCACAACACAGGTGTGGGTTTTGTGGGCGTCTGCTGCCTGCCCCGGCCCCAAGCCTGTGGCTGCAGGTCCTCTGAGTATGGGCGTCTGCTGCCCGCTCTGACCCCGAGCCCGCGGCCGCAGGTCCTCCGTGTGTGAGCGTCCGCTGCCTGCCCTGACCCCGAGCCCACGGCCGCAGGTCCTCCGTGTTGTGTGGGCATCCACTGCCCGCCCTGACCCCGAGCCTGTGGCCGTAGGTCCTCTGTGTTGTGTGGGCATCCACTGTCCGCCCTGACCCTGAGCCCGCGGCTGTAGGTCCTCTGTGTGTGAGCGTCCACTGCCTGCCCTGACCCCGAGCCCGCGCCTGTAGGTCCTCCATGTTGCGTGAGTGTCCACTGCCCACCCTGACCCCGAGCCCGCGGCCGTAGGTCCTCTGTGTGTGAGCGTCCACTGCCCGCCCTGACCCCGAGCCCGCGGCCGCGGGTCCTCCATGTTGTGTGGGCGTCCACTGCCCACCCTGATCCCAGGTCCGCGGCCGCAGGTCCTCCGTGTTGTGTGGGCGTCCGCTGCCCTCCCTGACCCTGAGCCCACGGCCGCAGGTCCGCCGTGGGAGCATCGCATTGGCATTTCCAGTGGCAGCACCACTGTTGAAAGTTCAGTGTGGGAGGCAGGAGGGTTGGAGATCTCCTAAAACCTGGTGCCATCACCAACTGGTGACTCAAAGCAGTCAGCGCTCAACTTTTCAAAGGAGAGGCATTGCCTTCCAATTTTAATCTCATCACTCGGAGTAAAATGATAAGATATTGAAAATCCACTGCCTGCCTCAGGTCTCAGAACGCAGAAAGTGGGGGGTGTGGTTTTTCACCTGTGCAGGGAGGCAGCTGAGGCCCGGACCCCGGCCCTGTGTGCTCTTCACACAGGTTCATGATCAAGAGGGCCCAAGGACGGAAGCGCTTTGGGATGAAGAATTTTAAGAAGAGATGGTTTCGCTTGACCAACCATGAATTTACCTACCACAAAAGCAAAGGTAAGGAGCAAGGTCGCTTTCCCTGGCTCTTGCTGGAGCGTGCTGGGCCCTGGGACTGAGTCTGCTTTTTCAGGGGGAGAGCTGAGGGGAGGAAGGATTCAGTGCTGCGGGCAGAGCCCGGGGCCGCGGTGACCCAGAGCCCTCTGCTTCTGGTTCTCCCTTCAAAGATCCCTGAAGGGGTCTTTCAGACCTGCTGCTGGAAAGTGAGGGAAATCTGCTTCCCCAGAGAACCAGTAAACGCAGAGCTGACCACATCAGTAAGGTGCTTTTCTGTCCACGTCCCTTCCTCCTCTGGTCGCCTCGTCATGGCCAGGGTGCCGCTCCGCCGAGGTAGACGGGGCTTCCCACCACCTCCTGCCCCTCGCTGTCAGATCTGCTGGCTCAGATCTAGATTAGGAAATATCTAGCAGTTTCTCCCATGTTCATGTCCCAGAACGGGAACATGTTCTGGGGACAGAGCCTGAGGCCACGGCAGCTGTGAGGATGCGAGCATTGGGCCCAGCCTGGGTGCATGGCAGGGCCAGGTGGGTCCCAGGCTTCCTCAGCCCCCGCACCTGCAGCCTGTCAGTGATTCAGCCATCATCCCCAAGGAGATGAACATGGGGCACCTCCTCCGGCCCAGGGCACCCCAGCAGAGACCCCCAGCTGGCAGAGACCCCCAGCAGAGACACCCCCAACAGAGACCCCCCCCAGCAGAGACCCTCCTGGCAGAGACCACCCCAACAGAGACCGCCCAGCAGAGACCCTCCTGGCAGAGACCCCCCCCCAGCAGAGAACCCCCCAGCAGAGACCCTCTAGCAGAGACCCTCCAGCAGAGACCCCCCGGTAGAGATCCCCTGACAGAGACCCCCCCAGCAGAGACCCCCCCCCAGCAGAGACCCCCCAGCAGAGACCCCCTGGCAGAGACCCCCCCCGGTAGAGACCCCCGGTAGAGACCCCTGGCAGAGACCCCCTGGCAGAGACCCCCCCAGCAGAGACCCCCGGTAGAGACCCCCTGGCAGAGACCCCCTGGCAGAGACCCCCCGGTAGAGACCCCCTGGCAGAGACCCCCCGGTAAAGACCCCCTGGGAGACCCCCCGGCAGAGACCCCTCAGCCCCACCCGGACCCCAGCCGGGACAGCGGGGCCCGCACCCACTGACAGTCCATCTCTGCTGCAGGGGACCAGCCTCTCTACAGCATTCCCATCGAGAACATCCTGGCAGTGGAGAAGCTGGAGGAGGAGTCTTTCAAAATGAAAAACGTGAGTGTGGGGCCCCCAAGCCTCTCTTTCGGGTTGAGGCCTGGCCAGGTTTTCTCTGCTCTCTTCCCGTACCTGGCCCTGGGCTCACCCTTCCCCACCCACTGCACTCCAGGCTTCTCAGAGTCTTCGTGTTACTCGGGTTGTTCACCAGGTGCTGGTGAGTTTGTGTCGGAATCTCGCATCAAAGCAGCCACACTCTCTGTGCCCGGGGTCACCGGGGTGGGGTGGAACCTGCCGGAAGGTGGGGCCTGAGCTGCTTCAGGTGGCGTCCCCCGCAGGGTCCCCAATGTCAAGGGGCCCTCTGTCAAAGACATCCCAGAAGCAGGCTTGGGACCGTCTGGAATTCCTTTTGGAAGCTTTTTTATTTTGATATAATTTTGAATTTATAGAAGTTGCACGAGTAGAACAAGTACTTTCCACACACCCTTGACCCAGACCCGTGTGTGGCCTCGTTCCCCGGTCACGCTTGACCCGGGCCCACGTGTGGCCTCGTTCCCCGGTCACGCTTGACCCGGACCCACATGTCGCCTCGTTCCCCAGTCACACTTGTTCCTTCTCCCTTCACGGTCCCGCCCGTGCTTTTCTGAATGTATCAACACTTCCAAGTGTGTTTCCCACCGTGCAGTCCCCAAAACCACAGCAGCCACCATCGCACGTCGCCGGCGCGACCACATTCGAGTTTGCCGCTGTCCAGTCCCGTTCTTCCGGCTGTGGTTCCTTCCCCTCTGGATCCAGTCTGCGCTGCATTCTGCTGCCCCCTCCGTCTGGCCCACTGGACACTCCCAGCCTTTCTTTGTGTGTGGTGGCCTTGGCATCTTTGAGGCGTGCAGGCCTTCGGTTTTCTGGACATCCCTCCCTGTGGGTTTGTCGGATGTGCCGACGTGGCAGGTTCTGATGATGCATTTCTGGCGGGAATCCCCTAGAGGTGTCCGTGGCGTCACCATTGTGTGGTGGCCTCCCAGAGTCGGCCGCTGGCCACGTTCTCCCTGGTGACTCAGTGCCCCTTCAGCCAGTGACCCCGCCGTCCGTGCCATCCTGAGGCTGACCCCGTACCCTGACACATGCTGGCTGGGACAAGCCTTCTGTGCCCCGACTGCAGCATGAGGGTCATAGAACAGTTGCAGGGAAGGCACAGTCCCTGGGCCTCGTGCCAAAGTTGACGCATGTTCCTTACCATTGGCAGAATTTTACTAGCATGTTATTCACAGGCAGTCCAGACAGATCCTGCAAAAGGCATAAGTTTGGAGAGTAATTTGAAGAGGAGGGCATGGGAAGAGGAGGGCTGGGAAGAGGAGGGCTGGGAAGAGAAGGGTTGGGAAGAGGGGGAGATGGGAAGAGGAGGGTGTGGGCTCAATGCCTGCTGACTGAGGGGGATGGCCGGAACCTGGCCCTGAGACCGTCCCTCGAAGGAAGCAGTGTGGACATGTCCTGGAAGCACCTCCAGCCCTTCACATAGATTCCCAATAATTCCCTAGTTTCAGCCGCCTGTTCCCAGCTGTTCATTCCCACTGACTTCCTCAGAGCCCGATTCCCCTGAGGCCACTGCCAGGCCAGGCTCTCACCAGCTGGGGAGACCTTTCTGAAGGCTGCTCCTGGTGGCAGGGCCGAGCCTGGGATGATGGCCAGGACGCCCTCCATGGGGGATCACAGCCATGCACGGGGGCGTCCAGTCCGAGACCTATACACATGTGCCGGGTGCAAGGCGGGAGGCTCCTGGCCTCTGTAAATAAGACCTCAGCTGTTCACCAGAAACCTGGAGCCCAAATCCTCCCCAGATGAGTGCAGAAGGCCCGTCCCCTAGAGAAGGCCACTGTCCCCCTGACTCCTGACTTAAGGGCAAGTCCCACATGAGAGCCCTCCCAACCTCCAGTCAGTCTCCTACTCAGAAAACCTGTCTTCTGTGTGCAACAGAGCCGGCTCCTTCTGGGAGCTTCTGACCTCCAATCCTAGGATATCTGTCCCCCCTGCCCCAGCACCCCCGTCCCTCTAATCCTAAGGCTTCTGTCACTCCTGCCCCGGGAGACCTGTCCCTCCAATCACAGGACCCCTGTCCCACCTGCCCCAGGACCTTTGTGCCTCCCATTTCTTCTGCCTTTGACACCCTTTGCCCCCACCCCCTGCTTAACTAACTTTGAGTCAACGCCGACTACAGCACCAGGACTGCTCACTTCCAGCTTCTGCTGACACCTGCCCTCGTTTAGTCTTTCTTGGTGGCTGCAGGTTCAGTAGAAACTCTATGCCAGGCTTTGTCTCCGGGACATAGGAGAGTGCTGGTGCTCAGTCATGTTTGTTGAATGAGTAATAAATGGTAAAGGTTGTTGCTGCCCCGAGACGCTTCAAGAGGAAGCAGCCCCCTAACCCCAGCTGGGAGGAGGAGGAAGAATCCTGGGCTGGTCAGTTGGGGAAGGAGCTGAGCAGGCCGGGCCACCTGGGCTGACACAGCACGAGCACCACGTGGATGGGATGCCTGCAGTCAGCTGCAGGAGGGCCTTGTGGGGAGGCCACAGGGCCCCTCTTTTGTCTTGAATGGAGACCTCCAAGGCTCCAGGACATAAAGGGCCTTGGCCAAGCTGTTCCTGGCCACCTGGCCACATCTCCAGCTGCACCAGTTCTCACCTCCATTCCCCACGGCCCCAGCTGTCAGGTTTTAGGGTGGCAGAGAGCTCCATGCACCCCCTGGCCTTGGCCTCTTCTGGGGCTTAGAGCTCCAGGACTTTTGGGCCTGTGCACCCTCAGCGTCCCCTCTTACGACTCCGGCGAGGACGGCCAGGTGCCTGGTGGACTCTTGCACGTGCTCAGCCACGAGACCTCATGTGCGCTGTCCTGAGCCCACCTGTGTCCTCAGATGTTCCAGGTCATCCAGCCAGAGCGTGCGCTGTACATCCAGGCCAACAACTGCGTGGAGGCCAAGGACTGGATCGACATTCTCACCAAAGTGAGCCAGTGCAACCAGAAGCGCCTCACCGTCTACCACCCGTCCGCCTACCTGAGCGGCCACTGGCTGTGCTGTAGGGCGCCATCCGACTCGGCTCCGGGCTGCTCGCCCTGCACTGGGTAGGTCTGTGCCTCGGTGCCCAGCTCGTGCACTGTGCAGGAAATGTGGCCAAGGGGCTGAGTAGGGAGGGACCAGCAGACAGTGCATGCCTGCCTGTAAGCTGCACATAAACAGGGCTGCCCTCGCCTCCTCCCAGGAGCCTCCCACCCGAGGGGTCCTCCCTCGAGGGAGCATCTGGGGCCCAGCCTCTGGAAGGCTCTGCGCAGACTCCAGGGTGCCACAGGCCTTCGAGGGTCTTCCTGAGGCCCTGCCCCGGGGGAGCGGGAGGTCAGGGTGAAGGGGGACTCCCCAGGCCGTGGCCATCCTGCTTCTCTAGGAGGAGGCTGGGAGCAAGCCCCTCCCTGAAAGCTTCGTCTGGCCCAGGACACCCACCTTGATTCCACATGACGCAGCAGCCCGTTGTCTTCCCGGCCCCCCATCAGCCGGGTCCCCATCAGCCGGGCCCCCCATCAGCCGGGCCCCCCATCAGCCGGGCCCCCCCATCAGCCGGGCCCCCCCATCAGCCGGGTCCCCCATCAGCCGGGCCTCCCCATCAGCCGGGCCTCCCCATCAGCCGGGTCCCCCATCAGCCGGGCCCCCCATTAGCCGGGCCCCCCCATTAGCCGGGCCCCCCATCAGCCGGGTCCCCCATCAGCCGGGCCTCCCCATCAGCCGGGCCTCCCCATCAGCCGGGCCCCCCGTCAGCCGGGCCCCCCGTCAGCCGGGCCCCCCGTCAGCCGGACCCCCATCAGCCGGACCCCCCGTCAGCCGGGCCCCCCGTCAGCCGGGCCCCCGTCAGCCGGGCCCCCGTCAGCCGGGCCCCCCATCAGCTGGGTCCTCCGTCAGCCAGCCCCCCATCAGCCGGGCCCCCATCAGCTGGGTCCTCCGTCAGCTGGGCCCCCCGTCAGCTGGGCCCCCTGTCAGGCCCCCCATCAGCAGGGCCCCCCATCAGCCGGGCCTCTGGCAGTTGCACAGAGGCTTGGGTCATATCTGCCGGTCCTAAGGAGGAGGCCTGGGTGCCTGGCGGTCCCCCTGGTTATGCTCCGTGAGATGCACCTCGCTGTTGTTGTGGCCACGTGATGCTTTCGCATAAGGGCCCTGCAGGGGATGAGCTGTGCTCCATGCTGGGCCACCGTTTAATCCTCCCACAGCCTCAGAGGTGGGACCTTAGATCCTGCTTCGTGGACACAGAGGCTGAAGCTCAGGAAGGGGGCCTGGCTGCTGCTCAGGCATGCGTGGCCACCGCCCCAGAATCCCCCAGGAGAGGCCAGCGCTCTCCCATGTCCTCGCATCCCAGGACAGCGGGAAGCATTGCAGCCTGACGAGGAGAGAAAACCTGGCCTGTCCCCACCCGCAGCCGACCGTGCAGGGAACACAGTCCCAGGAGGCTTCCTTCCAGGCCATTTATCTCCATGAGAACACGTCTGCCGAGTTTGCTCACTGCCTTGGCAGATCTGTGGGTCCCAAGAGGCTCCAGCCGCTGAGGCCGGACAGCTCGGGAGCCTCCCCTATCCCGCACACCCACAGCCAGCCTCAGTTCTCCCAGCTCGGGGATGCTTTTTTAGTTTTATGTCTTTGAGATGGGATCTCGTTCTGTCACCCGGGCTGGAGTACAGTGGTGCAATCTCAGCTCACTGCAGCCTCGACCTCCTAGGCTCAAGCCATCCTCCCACCTCAGCCTCCCAGGTACCTGGGACTACAGGTGTGCTCCACCATTCCAGGCTAATTGTTTTAAGGTTTTTTGTAGAAACGGGGTTTCACCACGTTGCCCAGACTGGTCTCAAACTTCTGGGCTCAAGCAGTCCTCCCACTTCACTCTCCCAAGTAGCTGGGATTACAGGCTGATGCCACCAGCCCAGCTCATTAAATTTTGGTTTTTTGTAGAGACGGGGTCTCACTATGTTGCCAGGTCTCACTGTGAGGGTCTCTCCATGTTGCCCAGGGTGGTGTTGCTCAAACTCCTGGGCTCAAGCGATCCTTCTTGCCTCGGCCTCCCAGAGTGCTGGGATTACCCACATGAACTCCCTGACTGGCCAGGGATGTGTTTTAATGTTGGTCACTTCATCTTCTTTCTTCTTTTTTTTATGATAAATGCATTTCATTATTTATTTAGATGTTTAAGCTCTCACTGCAAAGTTTTTACAAGCTGTTGAAGACTGACAAATTATTTCTCACACAGAACTATAACCACCCATCCCCAGACAGCATAAATATATGGTTGAACATGAATAAGTGACACAATTTTATCAATTACCTAATAAAACAAATGACCAAGTATCCAAATACTGAGCTACTCAGCTCAAAAGGCATATACAGTATTGACATCTGATCAGTTCATTAGCAGAAACCCACTTCTTTTTTTACAAGAGAAGTTGGGAAGAAAAGGGAAAAACTGTCATACTTCAAACAAAAATAAGTTGGAAACAATTTCTAATCAGTATGGAAAAAATTACAGACGTTTCAGAAATTTTATGATTTAAGAATTGTTTTAGCTATAATAAGCATTTCTGCCTTTTAAAAAGTATTTACTAAATTAAAGAGCATATTTCACACGTTCTGCACAAGGCAGCATTTTGCTAAAAATAACAGCCCCGCGCGTTCCTATCAGGCCCTCCCTGTTGGTTGCACCTGCGTGCAAATGTGAAATTAACCGTGAGGCCACTTTGTCTGAAGCCATCAAAGACGTGCTTCTGTACAATGTAGATTTTCTTTTCTTTTCTTTTTTTTTTTTTTTTTTTTTTTTTAGGCAGAGTCTCGCTCTGTTGCCCAGGCTGAAGTGCAGTGGTGTGATTTCGGCTCACTGCAACCTCCACCTTCCAGGTTCAAGCGATTCTCCTGCCTCAGCCTCCCAGGCAGCTGGGATTATAGGTGTGCACCACCACACCTGGCTAATTTTTGTATTTTTAATAGAGACAGGGTCTCACCATGTTGGCCAGGATGGTCTTGAACTCCTGACTTCAGATGATCCACCTGCCTCGGCCTCCCAAAAGTGTGGGGACTACAGGTGTGAGCCACCACACCCGGCTATGGAGGTTTTTCATAATAACACAAAGTAAGATTTATAAAAAGACATGAGGCCGGGCTCAGTGGCTCACGCCTGTAATCCTAGCACTTTGGGAGGTCGAGGTGGGTGGATCACCTGAGCTCAGGAGTTCAAGACCAGCCTGGCCAACATGGTGAAACCCCATCTCTACTAAAAATACAAAAATTAGCCAGGCGTGGTGGTGTGTGCCTATAATCCCAGCTACTCAGGAGGCTGAGGCAAGAGAATCGCTTAAACCCAGAAAGCGTAGGTTTCAGTGAGCTGAGATCGTGCCACCGCGCTCCAGCCTGACGTGTGCTGGTGTGAACATAGGAGAAGCAGACATAGAATGAGCAGGGAAACAAGCACACAGCCTCCTTCTGTGTTTGAAATGACTGAAGGAATAAACCACATGAGGTCTGGAGTGTTCATAGTTCCTGGGAATTGAGTTCTGTATGATACTAAAAATGTACAAGTATTACATATTACACTGGGGATTTTAGCACCTAGTCTTCCTAAATTTCTTATGTATTGATAAGATTCTGGAGTAGGAATAGATTTAAACAAGACATAACTCAGTACTGCGTGATTTCAGGAAAGGTCAGTTAGTACAAATGATAAGCACATTTTAAATACTAAACAGCAAGGATCTTTTGCCACGTGTCCAAATAGGCCAATGGTAACTGAAGCAGAGGTTGCTAGTTAGTTCCGGTTTGCAGCCTGGTGACACTGCTGTCCGTGCTGCTGTGGACGCTGTCAGCCTTGCTCAGCAAGCCAACACACCGGCTGTGCACAGACGGACAGCAAATCGATCCTGTCGAATTTCACTTCCAACACAATCGTTGTCTTTCTTCAGTGACATTTTAAAAATGAATGTCATTATTAAAAGCATCGTTTAAATAAGTGTTTTTATCTTTCTGTTCTTGCTGTGTCTGGACAGCGGCCTCCCAGCCAACATCCAGCTGGACATTGATGGGGACCGTGAGACGGAGCGTATCTACTCCCTCTTCAACTTGTACATGAGCAAGCTGGAGAAGATGCAGGGTGAGTCTGCCCGGCACACAGATCTGTGCAGCGAGGGGATGGCTGGCGAGGCCCCGGCCTCAGGAGCATGCTGTGGGGTGAAAACCTGTGGTCTGAGCCTCTGGTGTAGTGTGGGCTACATGTAGTTGTCTTTGTAGCACGGATGGATGCGAAAAGCTTTTTGCAGGGTAGGCAGCTATCTGGGGGACAATTACCTGTATAATAGGTTCTATAGATAATTTTTAGATGGAATTTAACTTGTAACCTCTGTACTGCCAAGTTTCTTTAGAGGACCTATTTTTTCATTCCTTTGTTTTCCAGAGGGATAAGTGCATGTGTGTGGACACGTATGTGAGTGTGCTTGCATGTGTGCGGACACACGTATGAGATGTGTGCATATGTGTAGGCATGTGTGAGCGTGTGAATGTGGACATGTGTGAGCGTGTGTGAATGTGTGGACATGACATGTATGAGTGTGGATGTGTGAATGTGGACATGTGTGAGCATGTGTGAATGTGTGGACACGTGTGAGTGCATGAATGGACGTGTGTGAGTGTGTGTGAATGTATGGACATGACATGTATGAGAGTGAATGTGTGGGTACATGTGTGAGCATGTGTGTGTGGGGACACGTGAGCATGCATGAATTTGTGCATGTGTGGAAACATGAGGGCACGTGTGAGTATGCATGTATGTCTTTGGGCACATGTGTCAGCATGCATATATGTGGGTACACACATGCCATCTAATTCTGTAAAGCAATTCAATGTCACAGATAACGATACTGCATATATATTTGAAACAGTGCCAGGCACACCGTGTGTTTCAAATCTATATGCAGTATGTATCATTATCTGTGACATTGAATTGCTTTACAGAATTGAAATAGCAATCCAGATAAGCCCAGTTAGACCACATGGGGACAGTGGTTTGAGGTCTGTGATTCAGGAGAGGCAGAGACAAGAAAAGCCCACGGGGGTGAAGCAGCTGCGTTTGTTTCTATGCCAGTGTCTGGTAGAACTCGGATCTGCTCTTGGAGATCATATGACAGGGCCCTTGAGTCCCACTCAGAATGGAAATAGAGCGGAATGTGCCTGGAGTTATGCCTGTTAGATTTTCTTCTTTTCATTCCCCTGATTTAACCCAGAAGTGTCAAGTGTGCCTTGGCCTGGAAACACATGAGTCCTGCCTGAGTGTCCATGCAGCTGCCCATCTGTGAGCTTGGCCACGCCTGTTCTCCAGCCCCACACGCCCTGGGTGTCCGCGCAGCTGCCCATCTGTGAGCTTGGCCACGCCTGTTCTCCAGCCCCGCATGCCCTGGGTGTCCGCACAGCTGCCCATCTGTGAGCTTGGCCACGCCTGATCTCCAGCCCCACATGCCCTGGGTGTCCGTGCAGCTGCCCATCTGTGAGCTTGGCCACGCCTGTTCTCCAGCCCCACATGCCCTGGGTGTCCGCACAGCTGCCCATCTGTGAGCTTGGCCACGCCTGATCTCCAGCCCCACATGCCCTGGGTGTCCGTGCAGCTGCCCATCTGTGAGCTTGGCCACGCCTGTTCTCCAGCCCCACATGCCCTGGGTGTACGTGGGTTCCAGGCCTACACTAACACACAGGCACATACACATGTATGCATAGCCATGTACACACATGTTCCCAGCAATACATGTGTGAAATGAACATACAGGTACATGTGTGTGCAGACAGGCAAGGCAACAATACCTGCACACATGTGCAGTTGAACACAACACGCTCACATGTGCAGGCCCATGTGCAGGCATGCACACACATGTGCAGACAACCACACATGTACACACTCATGGGCCACCACCCACCACAGCGTCTTCTCCCCCAGCAAGTGTGCGAGGTGCTGTCCCTGGGTCTGAGGTCCCTGGATACTGTGAAGATGGCACAAGGCCTCAGGGTGGCCAAGACAGTGGGTCTGGCATCAGCCAGCCTCTTCCCAGCCCTCTCATAGCAGGAACCGACACAGCAGAGGCCAGAGTCAGGGAGCCTCGGAGAGGGTGAGGTCATCACACACAAGACCCAGGTTCTGAAAGATGCTGACCAGGCCCTCCATGATCAGCTTGCTCCCTGCACCACTGTCCAACCTTGCTCAGCTCCTCCTAGGCCGTGCGCCCCGCATCACAGCTCCAGCTCTTCCTCTGCTGGGAACACCCTTGCGCATCAGGCTGGCAGACCCTGTTTACCTTGGAAGTGTCTTCCTCCAGGCGCTTCCCAACCTCACCATCCCCATAGCCTGGTGTATTAGTTCTCATGTTGCTATAAAGAAAAGAAGATTGATTGACTCACAGTTCTGCAGGCTGTACAGGAAGCATGGTTGGGGAGGCCTCAGGAAACTTTCGATCATGGTGGGAGGGCAAAGAGGAAGGAAGGAGGCACCTCCTACATGCAGGAGCAAGAGAGAGAGATGGGGGTAGATGCCACACACGTCCAAACAACCAGACCTCGTGAGAACTCACTATCACGAGAACAGCAATGGGGAAGTCTGTCCCCATGATCCCCTCTCCTTCCTCCAGGCCCCTCCTCCAACACTAGGGATTACAGTCTGACCTGAGATTTGGGTGGGGACACAAATCCAAACCACATCACCTGGGCTCACCTGTGTCACCAAAGTCACAACCATCTCCCATCTCCTCAGCTTCCATATGCAGTGACCTTCCTGGGCCTGGCACAGAGGAAGTGCCTAGCACCTGGATGGGTGTGCTGGACAGATGGCGGGGCAGGCAGCTGAGTGGGTGGGTAGATGGGTGGATGGACGGTTGGGTGAGAGATGGGTGGATGGAAGGATGGGTGAGTGACGGGTGGATGGATGGATGGATGGGTAGATGGGTGGATGGACAGATGGGTGAGTGATGGATGGATGGACAGGGTGAGTGATGAGAGGATGGACTGGGGTGAGTGATGGGTGGATAGATGGATGAGTGATGGGTGGATGGAAGGATGGGTGAGTGATGGTGGATGGACGGATGGGTGAGTGATGGGTGGATGGAAGCATGGGTGAGTGATGGTGGATGGACAGATGGGTGAGTGACGGGTGGATGGACGGATGGGTGAGAGATGGGTGGATGGAAGGATGGGTGAGTGATGGATGGACGGATGGGTGAGTGATGGGTGGATGGACAGATGGTGAGAGATGGGTGGATGGAAGGATGGGTGAGTGATGGGTGGATGAACAGATGGGTGAGTAATGGGTGGATGGACGGATGGGTGAGTGATGGGTGGATGGACAGATGGGTGAGAGATGGGTGGATGGATGGATGGGTAGATGGGTGGATGAACAGATGGGTGAGTGATGGGTGGAGGACAGGGTGAGTGATGAGAGGATGGACCGAGGGTTGAGTGATGGGTGGATGGACAGATGGGTGAGTGATGGTGATGGACAGATGGGTGAGTGATCGGTGGACTGACAGATGGGTGAGTGATGGTGATGGACAGATGGGTGAGTGATGGGTGGACTGACAGATGGGTGAGTGATGGGTGGATGGGCCGATGGGTGAGTGATGGGTGTACGGACAGGGTGAGTGATGGGTGTACGGACAGGGTGAGTGATGGGTGGATGGACAGATGGGCGAGTGATGGGTGGATGGACAGATGGGTGAGTGATGGGCAGATGGACCAATGGGTGACTGATGGGTGGATGGAGCAATGGACGAGTGATGGGTGGATTAACAGATGGTTGAGTGATGGGTGGATGGGCAGATGGGTGAGTGTTAGGTTCATGGACCAAAGGGTGAGTGATGGGTGGATGGATGGATGGGTGGGTCAGTGATGGGTGGATGGATGGATGGGTGAGTAATGGGTGGATGGACAGATGGGTGAGTGATGGATGGATGGACAGGGTGAGTGATGGGTGGATAGACAGATGGATGAGTGATGGGTGGATGGAAGGATGGGTGAGTGATGGTGGATGGATGGATGGGTGAGTGATAGGTGGATGGACAGATGGGTGAGTGTTAGGTTCATGGACCAAAGGGTGAGTGATGGGTGGATGGATGGATGGGTGGGTGAGTGATGGGTGGATGGATGGATGGGTGAGTAATGGGTGGATGGACGGATGGGTGAGTGATGGGTGGATGGACGGATGGGTGAGTGATGGGTGGATGGACAGATGGATGAGTGTTGAGTTCATGGACAAAGGGGTGAGTGATGGGTGGATTGACAGATGGGTGAGTGATGAATGGGTGGACGGATGGGTGAGTGATGGGTAGGTGGACGGATGGGTGAGTGATGGGTGGATGGATAGGGTGAGTGATGGGTGGATGGACCGAGGGATGAGTGATGGGTGGATGGACAGATGGGTGAGTAATGGATGGATGGACAGATGGGTGAGTGATGGATGGACAGATGGGTGAGTGATGGATGGACTGAGGGGTGAGTGATGGGTGGATGGACCGAGGAGTGAGTGATGATGGGTGGATCGACAGATGGGTGAGTCATGGGTGGATGGATGGATGGGTGAGTGATGGGTGGAGGGATGGATGGGTGAGTAATGGGTAGATGGACAGATGGGTGGATGGACGGATGGGTGAGTGATGGCTGGGTGGACAGATTCCTTATTGCGATTTTTTTTCTAGTTATTGCCAGTTTTATTTTTTAATCAATATTCCAGCTGAGAATTTTGCATCTGATACATGGTCCATGGACTCATTCTGGGTGAGAGTGGCATTCTGATGGCCCTACCCGCTTCAGGGTCCTTCTTCCCTCGTCTTGAAGAATGGCACATGTTCACAGCTGAATAGCTCTATGGCCTGGCTTGTAGGGCTTAAGACACCGCAGCCTGCCTTCATTTCATCCTGTTTTCTCTGTTTCCTGGTTTCTTCTGGCAGTGCCTCTGCTGGTGCGGTTCCTTCTCTGCTCCCGGCTGTTGCTGAGATGGTTGGTCAAGTCCAAGGCTCAGCCCCACACTTGTCTCCTTATCAGATAGCCACACAGCCACCTGCTTAATGGTCTCTTCCAAACATGCTGTCTCATTTTTTTTGAGATATGGGTAGGCTGGAATTTTAATTCTCAAATCTTTTAACTCAACCAGCCTTTGAGTTCTGGTTCCTTTTTGCTCAACAATTCCACCTTCAAATCATCTCTCTCCCCACATTTTGCTGTCAGCGGTCAGGAGGAACCAAGCCGCTCCCACAGCATTTTGCTTAGAAATCTCCTCAATTACGTGTCTGATGTCATCACTCGCGAGTTCCACCCTCCCAGAACACGAGGGCATGAACACAGGTCCACTTTGTCACGAGGATGGCTTTTTCTCCACGGTCCAGTAGCATGGCCGTCCTTTCTGTCTGAGATGTTGTTAGAACAGCCTTGCCACCCATGCTCATGCCACCATTCTGTTCAGGGTTACTTAGATATCCCCTAAGACAGGACTTCTCTGCAGCTCTCCTCTCCCGAGCCCCCAGCATTGTCCTTTAAGGACATTCATGGCAGCCATGCCTTTTCCGCTCTGCACCCCCAAACCCCTTCAGCCTTCGCCCAGCACCCAGTTCCAAAGCCAGTCCACATTTGAAGGTACAGCAGCAGCCACTTCTCAGTACCAAGTTCTTGGTGAGTTTGGGCTGCCGTAAAAATTGTACCATAGGCTGGGTGGTTACAGACAGCAGGAATTCACTTCCCAGATTGAAGGCCTGAGAAGCTTGAGATCCGGGCGTAGCAGTGCTGGTTTAACTGCGGGTCCTCTTCTGGGCTGCAGCCCGCCAGTGTCTCATTGTGTCCTCACATGTGGAAGAGGCAAGCCAGCTTCCTTGGTGTCTTCTATAGGGACGCCCATCCCCTGCACAAGGGTTCCACCCTCACGCCTTGTCACCTCCCAAAGGCCTCATCTCCTGATGCCATCCCTTGAGAGTTAGGATTTCAACCCACAGATTTGGGGGCACAAACATTCATTCCATCCAGATGGACACAGCTGCAGGGCATCGGTGCTGGCTCCGGGAGTGCGTGCCCAGGCGCTGTGAGCAGTGAGGCAGAGACGTGTACCTGGTTCAGGTGTTTGGACTCAGGTGGCACAGGGCCCTGCCCTGGCTCAAGGGTTCCATGGCTGTCCGCTAGGGGCGAGGCACCAGAATGGCCTTCAGCAGGAGTGATGTGGTCCGATTAGGAAGGTGGCCCCGGTGCGTAGGTGGGGTCCGGGGCAGTGGTCTTTAGAAGCTGCGGCACAGACTGGTGTCCGCCCTGTGCTCGGCCAGCCCTGGGCTAGGCCTGTCCTGGCTGGACATGCTCAGTGGCAGCTGGGTGTGAAATGTGCTGAACCCCATCGTGCTCACTCCCTCAGCTGACTCTTCAGGGCTGCCCCAGGGCCCATGAGCCAGCCCAGCGTCCAGCTGCAGGTGTCTCTCCTCCTGGTTCTGGCTGGGCGGGCTGGTGGGGCGTGCAGAGATGTGCACATCCCCCTGTGAGAATGGCTGATTGGTGACAAGGCTGGGAGCTAGGGGCAGCAGAGCCCTCAGAGGTGAATGAGGTTGCTCAGCATCCAGCTCCCAATGGGCTTTCCCTGGGCTCAGTGTGGGCACAACTCGCCTACCTGCGGGAATGGTTTCTATCTCCGTCTGCGTTTACGAGTGGTGGTCAGCCCTTTCTGGAGGAGCTTGCGTTGGAAGGATGTGTACTGTGGGTGGGGCCTGCAGCGACGCAGCTGTGTGGAGACGGGGCCGGTGGCCTGGGCTCCTGCCCTGCGCTGACCCCTCCGCCCTCCACAGAGGCCTGTGGGAGCAAATCTGTGTATGACGGCCCGGAGCAGGAGGAGTATTCGACGTTCGTCATTGACGACCCCCAGGAGACCTACAAGACGCTAAAGCAAGTCATCGCTGGGGTTGGGGCTTTGGAGCAGGAGCACGCCCAGTATAAGAGGGACAAGTTCAAGAAGACGAAATATGGAAGCCAGTGAGTGCCACTCCCGTGCCTGCCCTGGACGGCCAGTGTAGTGGGCGGGAGATTGCAGTGGGGGTGGGGCTGCAGGGAGCTCCCGGGTGGGGCCGCCCGTGCTCAGGTGTCCGCCTGGGAGGAGAGTCCCACTTGCACCGGGCTGGCACCTGGCGGTAGTCAGTGGACGTGGCCCGGCGCTGCTGGTCCCTCCTTCAGAGCAGGTGCTGCCTTTGCTCTCCAGGCCCCCAGCCAGCGTCCGGGCTGCCTCCCTGACCTGCTTCCTCCCAGCCTCTCTGCTATACTGGTGTCACGTGCTCTGGCAGTCTCTAGGCCCAGGTCTTGTTCTGCCTTGGTTCAGTGGCACACCCTCTGGCATCTCTCCAGGCCACCCATGGTGCCCGGGAGCAGGGCCAGCTCTGGACGAAACCCACTCTTGTCTCATGAGGCAGGTGTGGCGAGGTTGAGTACGTTCAGCTTAGTCACCAGCTGCAGGCTAGGTGGCGCTTAGCTAAGCTCCACTCCCCCTCACTCCATGGAACAGAGGGTTGTAAGACCCTCATGAGTTGCTGGAAGATTGACTTAAACTATGTAAAGTGCTAGGCTGGCTCTTAGCCTGGAGTGAGCAGATGTGTCTGTGTCACTCTCTCCATCCAGTGGGTACCCAGGTCCACCATGGCAGAAGCCCCCACACGGGCTCATTCAGGGGCGGGTAAGCCCTAGAGCCCTGTGTAGCTGTACAGCCTCCTCCTCACTTCCATCCTCCTGCTCACTCCTCTCTTTGGTCCTCCCTCCCTTCGATCCTCCCTCTCTCCTCCTCCACCCTTCTTCTCCCTCCTTCCCTTCCTTCCTTCTTAACCCCTCCTTCCTTCCACCATGCGGGTCTGGTCTGGGAAGGGCAGTGGTGAGGCTCCAGGAGAGTGACAGGTCCCTGTGGCCCGGACTTGGACCGAGTTGCTCAGGGGACTGAGCCTGCAACACCTCCTGAGTGCTGTGACTTCACCTCTGACATCATCATATCAGATCCCTCTCGACACCCTTCTGGGGAGACAGCCCCATTTGCCTTCCAAATATGTTGCCTCGTTGATATCAGCAGGTCCATCAACCTCATGGCCAAAAGCCAGCAGGTTGAAAATGCGCGAAGCATGATGCTGTTTGTTGTAGTAGAAGGCGCACACGAGGCACACATGGTACAAGATGCACACACATGGCAGGAGGTGCACACACATGGGTGGAGGTGCACACACATGGCAGGAGGTGCACACACGGAGGAGGTGAACACGTGGGAGGAGGTGGTGCACACGTGGGAGGAGGCACACACACGGAGGAGGCGCACACACATGGCAGGAGGTGCACACATGTGGGAGAAGGCACAGACGGAGGAGGTGCACATACATGGCAGAAGGTGCACACGTGGGAGGAGGTGCGCACATGTGGGAGAAGGCACACATGGAGGAGGCGCACACAGCAGGAGGTGCACACACATGGGAGGAGGTGGTGCACACACGTGGGAGGAGGTGCACACACGTGGGAGGAGGTGTGCACACACGTGGCAGGAGGTACACACAGAGGAGGTGCACACATGCGAGAGGGGTGCACACACGTGGGAGGTGGTGCACACACATGGGAGGAGGTGCACACAGGAGGCACACAGAGGTGCACACACAGGTGCACACGTGGGAGGTGTACACACGGAGGGGTGCACACACATGGGAGGAGGTACACGTGGAAGGAGGTGCACACACGTGGGAGGAGATGCACACATGGAGGTGGTAGGCACGTAGGAGGAGGTGCACACACATGGAGGTAGTGGACACACATGGCAGGAGGTGCACACACATGGTATGAGGGAGGTGTGCATGTGGGGAGGAGGTGCCCACGCCTGCTGAGTGTCCCAGCACTGGGACAGATCTGTGTCCCTGGAGCTCATGCTCCCCACACATGAGCACACTCTTTGCAGTGCAGATGTGCACATTCTGCACACGTGCCATACACTCTACATATTCCACATCTGCACATGTATATGCGCTACACACGTGCCACAGGGAGAGCACACGTGCACATGTACTTGCACGCCTGACCCACCTGTGCACACACATCAGAGTCACCGTGGGTGCTTCCGGGGGCACTGTGGTTCCTTTGGCTCCTCTATTTTTTGTGTGGATTGCAGTGTGAGTGTGTCACATTTAGGAACAGGAAAAGCTCCCGCAGCCACGGGTGAGCACCAGGCAACGGGGTCTGTGCCTCATTCCCTCTCCCATCCCCCTTTTCAGGGAGCACCCCATCGGAGACAAGAGCTTCCAGAACTACATCCGGCAGCAGTCCGAGACCTCCACTCATTCCATTTAAAGTCTGCGGGACGCGCCCAGTGGCGCCAGCAAGCTGCCCATGCAAAGCCGCAGCCTTTGGGAGGGAGAAGAGAAGGAAGAGCGCAGAGCCGGCAAAGTGAGATGCACGCCGTCCCGGCCCATAGACAAGTGGCGCTGGGGTTTCCCTCTCCCAGAACCGCTGCCACCACCGCCACGCCCTCCGCAGAAAGCCCACCTGGCCCTGTGGAACGTGTCGTCATTTGATTCTGTGCTTTTTGCTCCTTGTTTGTGGGGATCTGGGGATCAGCTGAAGGATCAGGAAGTGTGGGCTGTGCCCTAGCCACACCACAGCCAGCCTCAGGGAGCCACGGCCCGTCTAGTCGACTGTGACATGCACCTCCGGCCGTGTGTGCGTCAGTCTCGTGCACGTCTGTCTTGCGTGCACGGTGCGTGTGACGCTGGGCTCTGTGGCTCTGTGCCCGGGAGGCCTGCTGGCCCCGCCTCGGCTTTCGGCTTCATCACATTGGGAGGTTCAGAGCATTACTCTCCCACTGTGCCTGCCATCCAGGCAGCCATGGGAGGCGGCCTCCCTGTTCCACTTTCGAGGTTCGTTTGATTCCTGGCTGAGGGGTCAGTTTTATGGCTGGGAGGTGCAGAATTACACAGAAGTCCCAGTCTGAGGATGTCCTTGGTGCTTGGGGGATACGGGTTCTGTCCACAGAGTCCCTTGGAGGGAAAGGTGTGGGCTCCAGCTTCTCCAGGCGTCTGCGGAGCCCACAGTTGAAGCCCACATCGTTTTGCTGTTGAATGGGGTTTAAAATCAGAATTAACATTTGCCACCCCCCGTGGAAGTTTGAAGATTTTAAAAATAGAAATGTACATTTTTCAAGCTGTTTTTCTTTATGTTTTTGAAGGACCATTTTTAATTAGCTCTTTGATACAAAGTAACTCAGAACGTCAAAACCTATACCCACTAAAGGGAAGGCTGCCGGGAAGGCAAATGGAACAGGAATGGAGCCTGTCTCAGGAAGGCCAGCTGCAGGTCCTCCAGAAAATCAAAGAAGGGAAGAAACTCTGAGTTTGAGGTACAGGGGCTTCGGGGTGCAGACGTCCCTCCAGGGCCCATGGTCAGTATTGCACCTGTGTTATGAACCCCCAGATGCTGTGCAGGGCAGGGGCGGGGGCTGCTGTTTTATTGGGGAGGGGAGCATCCTAAAAATGGGGTCCAGGCAGACCCCTCCAGACCTCACACTGCCGAGGAGGCCTTTCCCAAAGGGCGTCCTCCCGGGATGCAGACGGCAGGTGTGTGGGAAGCGCCGTTTAAATACACAGCACGACGTATCCTTGTACCGACTTCTCCCGGTTCTTGTTTGAAAATACTGTAGTTCAGGCTCTTGATCTAGATGGCAGATAGGAACTTTCTTGTCACAAAAATACTGGAGGAAAATGTTGTAAAAATAGACTTTTGGACACACAGCTGTTGGGGCTGCACTGAGCTGCAATTTTTAACATGGATTTATAACTTAATGTTTCTGTTTATAAAATACTAATGATTTGCAATGTATTTTACTGGCCAATTAAAACAGATGTTTTATTCTTTCTGAGGACTGCCTTGGTTTTCCAGTGGTACCCACTGGGAATTGCACATGTGGGCATTAGGGGTGGGGGGTACAGGGAGGAGGGTGGCACCTGGGGAGCAGGATGACATTGCTGATGCCAAGTGACGTCCCTGGTGATGGGTGATGCTGCTCTGACAGGTGGCACTGCCCTGATGACAGGTCACATTGCTGATGCCAAGTGACATCTCTGGTGACAGGCAGCGCTGCTCTGACAGGTGACAGGTGACATCGCTGGTGACAGTTGACGCCTCATGACGGGCAGCGCTGCTCTGACAGGTGGCACCGCCCTGATGACAGGTGACATCACTGGTGACAGTTGACATCTTTGGTGATGGGCAGCGCTGCTCTGACAGTGGCATTCACCTGTGGTGCCTCAGGTGAGAGTCCGGCCCTGTGATAACCTCAGGAAAGGTGTGTCCACTCAAGGAGTGCTGGGCAGACAGACCACCACGTGCTGCCATCTCCAGGAATGCAGAGGGGGAGGCCACTTGGAGGCCCTGGGAGAAGAGAACGGACTGCGCCTCTAGGCAGGTGGCTGCTGTCCCTCCAGGCAGGAGAGGGTTAAGGGGGGCTCTGGGTGAAGACTCCATGATACGTTGCCTCATTTCTTTATTCCTTTCCTTGCTCCATTTGAATTCCTCTTTTTTGGTAATTCTATTGTGAGTCAGCTCTGGTATGAGAAAAATGAGGAGGTGTGGCTTTGGGGACACCAACCCAGGCCTTTCTCCCAGGGAAGGGTGAGGCTTGGTTCAGCCTGGCCGGCCTCCTTAGTCCATGCTGAGGTGTGGGGTCTGCCCCAGTCCAGGAGTGGCTATGGGTGGTGGACAAACCCTTGCAGGTGGGGGCATCCTCCCCGGGAGGCCAGCCCGTCCTCCTGGAGCCACACTTCCCGGCAGGGCCTCAGGCAGTGTCGGGAGCCAGGGGGCTCCGTTCACACTCTGGGCACAGCTGTGCTGGGGTCAGCCCAGGAGGGCCAAGGTCAGCCCCTCCAAGAGGAAGTAGAAGGGCAAGGAGGACGAGGCCCCAGGGAACGTGGAGAATGGAAGCCCCTTCTGGAACAGCCAGGAGAGTCCTACAGGGCAGTGGGAGGTGGGAGTGTATGGGGGCCGGAAGCCCCTGCGCGTCTCCACTGATATGGTTTGGCTGTGTCCCCACCCAAACCTCATCTTCAGTTGCAGCTCCCATAATTCCCATGTGTGGTGGGTGGGACCCAGTGGGAGGTGATTGAATCTGTGTGGTGGGAGGTGATTGAATCTATGTGGTGGGAGGTGATTGAATCTGTGTTGTGGGCGGGACCCGGTGGGAGGTGATTGAATCTGTGTGGTGGGCGGGACCCGGTGGGAGGTGATTGAATCTGTGTGGTGGGAGGTGATTGAATCTGTGTGGTGGGAGGTGATTGAATCTGTGTGGTGGGAGGTGATTGAATCTGTGTTGTGGGCGGGACCCGGTGGGAGGTGATTGAATCTGTGTGGTGGGCGGGACCCGGTGGGAGGTGATTGAATCTGTGTGGTGGGCGGGACCCGGTGGGAGGTGATTGAATCTGTGTGGTGGGCGGGACCCAGTGGGAGGTGATTGAATCTGTGTGGTGGGCGGGACCCGGTGGGAGGTGATTGAATCTGTGTGGTGGGTGGGACTTGGTGGGAGGTGATTGAATCATGGGGCGGTTCCCCCATACTGTTCTCGTGGTATAAGTCCCACGAGATCCGATGTGAAAGTTTTATGAGGGTTTCTCCTTTTGCTTGGTCTCATTCTCTCCTGCTGCTGCCATGTAAGACGTGCCTTTCACCTTCCACCATGATCGCAGGGCCTCCCCAGCCATGTGGAACTGAATCCATTCAACCTCTTCTTTATAAATTACCCAGTCTCAGGTATGTCTTTATCAGCAGCATGGAAACTGTCTAATACACCCACCAAGAGACTGCAGGTGGCTTTGTGGAGACCCCAGTGACGCCCATTTGCCCTTGTTGCTCCAGACGACCCAGCACTTGTTGGAGAGAGACAGCGGCCTCCTCTCCCATCCTGGCAGCATCCGCGGGGCTCCCGACATCAGAGTGTCCAAAGCAGGTGCCTCTGAGGAACCGTCCCAGGAGGCCAGGCAGTGCCAGAGCGTGTGTGAGGCCAAGGCCCCCACCCTGCACCCACCACTTGCCCAGAGAGCTGAGGCCTCCTGGGTGCTGAGAGGCTGTGGGCTCTTCAAAAGAAGAGATCAGAAGGAGGGGAGCCTGCAGCCTGGGGGTCACACCTGCTTCCCCCTGGCTGAGGAGCCCCGGGTGCGGGAAGCGGGTCCTGGGGGCGGGGGGGTGCGCCGGCTCGCGAGGTGCCTGTCAAGGGGCAGAAGGGGCTGCCCAAATAAGCCACACTGTTGTAAGGGTTGTTTTGAGCTGAAACAGCCATCCACAAGGATAAGAACGCTGCTTTCTTCTGGCTCTGGAGAGCGTCTTCCCCGTGGGGTGTTACCTCCTCTTTCAGGAAGGAAAGGCCATTCCCGGCCACACAGACCGTGCTGGAGTGCGTGTGCCTTTCTCCAGCTCATCTGCTGATTTTAATTATCAGGCCCGACCAAAAAACCCCAAGAGGTAAAATGTTGCCTCCCCACCCACCGTGGTCTGGAGGCTGGAGGAGACAGCGTGCCGGGGATTTTCTGTTCGGCTCAGTACAGGCTGAACTCTGTCCCGGCAAATCCTCATGCTGGAGCTGTGACCCTGTGACCCTCAGGACCTCAGGGTGTGGCTGCACTTGGGCGTGGAGCTGTAGAGATTGTCAAGGTAAAGCGAGGCCCTGACCCAGTGTGACCAGCGTCCTCATGAGAAGGGGAGACGAGGACGCAGCACACAGGACCACCACGTGAGGACACGGAATACGTCATCTTCGCGCCAAGGAGAGAGGCCTCGGGTAACCAGCGCTGCGAGACACCTTGCCCCCAGCACCGGAGGGAATGAGCTCCCGCTGTTTAAGCCGCCTGCCTGGGAGTGCCAGCAAACCCACGCTGACCTGTGCAGTTCACACCGTCGGCCCGGAAAGCCCTCGCCGGAGCCCCGGCCACATCAGGGTTTCGTCCTGGCGCCGTGTGGGTGGGGAGAGGCGCTGGGCCGGCAGCATTTGCACCCCACCACTGCCTGCAGGGGCTGCCTTTGTCTTCCTGAGTTGATCTGTGTCCCATTTGCCCTGATAGGGAGAGAAAGATTCAAATACCCTGTCACAGAGGGAGACCGGCGTCTCATCTGCAGGCCCTGCTAGGGCTGGTGCCAGTTCCCCGCCCTCCCTGGTGGAGAGACCAGAGATGTGAAAACGCAGAACCCGCCCCAGCCCCGGCCTGCGGGAAAGAAGAAGGGAAGACGCAGAACCCGCCCCAGCCCCGGCCTGCGGGAAAGAAGAAGGGAAGACGCAGAACCCGCCCCAACCCCGGCCTGCGGGAAAGAAGAAGGGAAGACGCAGAACCCGCCCCAGCCCCGGCCTGCGGGAAAGAAGAAGGGAAGACGCAGAACCCGCCCCAACCCCGGCCTGCGGGAAAGAAGAAGGGAAGACGCAGAACCCGCCCCAGCCCCGGCCTGCGGGAAAGAAGAAGGGAAGACGCAGAACCCGCCCCAGCCCCGGCCTGCAGGAAAGCCACGCTGTGCTGCCAGGGATCGGCTGATCTTTGGCCTCTGACCTTACAGTGATGTCACAGCAGACCCATGGCAACGCACTCCCAGCACCTCCTGACTACTCCCTGCGGGACGGCTGGGTGTGAGGGTGGCAGCCTTGTGCTCAAGCCGAGGCTGGGCTGGAGGATGGAGAAGGACACGGGGACCACACACAGGAGGCACCGGCCCGGCCTCAGGGCCCTGCCCTCAGGAGTGGCCCTTGGGCACCTCAAGGCGGCCAGTGAGGCCTCTGAACTTCAGCGAAGCAGGAGTCTGGGAGGCCTGCAGCCCGAGGGGGACCCTCCCAGCCGCCCTAGGAAGCCTCACAAGGAGCTGGGTAGGGGCTGTGGGGCCGCGGGGAGCGGGTGGACGGCGCGGCTGTCCCACCAGGCACTGAACCCAAAGTACCTGCGTCAGAGCCCAGCCCAGTTAGAAAGTTCTAGGAAGTTCCCAAGGTTAGGGATGCGCCGAGACAGCCCCAGGAGGTCCAACGACGTGTGTCCAAGGCGGGGCACGGCCTGACGTCATACATTGCAGGGGGGCGTGGGGCATCAATCAGCACCTGTGAGGGGGTACGTCGGTTCTGTCCGGAAAGGGACAGCCTGAAGCAGGAGGGGCTTCCAGGTCGTAGGTAGAGGAGACACAGGGCTGCATTCTTTGGGTCTCGATCAGCCTTTCACTGAACACACAATTTACACGTGAGGGGACTAGAGGGAGAGTCACTTGTATCCTCGTCCGGCTCCGTGACTGCGGTTTTTCATGAGCAGCCCAGAGGGAGCTGTCGGACACACTTGTCTCAGGTGAGCAGAGGGAGGACCGTGATCTCTGTCCCTGTCCTGCGCCTGTTGACGGTCAGCTGTCCACGTGCATTCCCAGCGTGAAACTCCACAAAACTGCTTAGGGCAGAGATCTTAAGGCTCACAAGGAATTTCCTCGTGGGTGAATGATGAGGGAGGCCTGTGGCCGTTTATCTCTGCAGCTCTTGTTTAGGAAGAGGATGGGAGGCAGGTTTGTCTGACACATTCCCAGCCTTACTCCTCCCCTTAGCTCAGTGATTCAGGGCCCAAGATTCATTTTCCTTCCACCGGCAGCAGGGACCGGGCCGGGCCTCCTGCCTCCCGCTGCCCTGTGCTCGGAACGCTAAGGGTGGAAGTGGGGAGCACTCCAGGTCCACACCCGTAACCCACCCAGGGCTGCTGGGAAGGCCTTGCGCTGCTGGGGCGGAGCTGTGGGGGCTCCAGCCGGGCACAGCCAAGGGCGGGAGGGGTGAGAGGAGGGCAGGCCTGGGACCCTCATGGGCCTCCGAAGCCAGCCGATGCCTGAAGGGAGGATCATAGCCAGGCGCCCCGTTTGCAAGAAGGCCCTGGTGAGGGCCTGGGTCCCTGCCAGGAGCTCTGGGCCTCACCCACCAGCAAGGAACCTGCGTAGCTGGTGTTTGACACGGTTGGCTTCTAAACCGCGAAACGTGTAGGCTGCCCCTGTGTCGGTCCACACTCGCCACTCTGAGATGTTTCCAGGTGTGCCGAACGGACGGTGGTGTGGGCCTGGGGATGGTGCTGCAGTCACCTCCTCACACCTTGAATACTGGCCCAGAGCACAGGGCTGAGGGGCTGACACGGAGCTGCGAGCTGGCGCTCCCCTCCCCTCCCGCGGCCTCGGCAGCTCCGCCTCCCCTTCGCAAAGGTGTCCACGGGGCCGTGGAAGTGAGACAGCCCGGTAGGACTCGGGGTTTGCTTGCTCAAGCCCTGGGGACAATTTTAAGAGGTAATGATGTAAAAATATGTGTTCTTCTCTGAGTTTAAAAATCCAAATATGTGCTATTTGGGGGGCGTGAGTAGTTAGGAGGCTGCACCCTACCTCCCTCCCCACGGGGTTCCCTCAAGACGTGCAAAGTTCTCAAAAGAATAAGTTACGCCAAGGCTGCTTAGCGGGAATTTAAGTTGGGGCGGGGAGTGGATCTCCAATAATGCCGCCCGATGCCACCACAGTGCGGACTTAGAGGCCGGGGTCGGATGGAGGGAGGGATTGAGCCCCATTGTGGCTGACATTTCCCTCAACACCTGCTGGATTTGCCCAAAACTGCACGATGGGAGGTGCCGCAGCAGGGAGGCCGGGCTTCTGTGTGGCCGCTTGTCCTGTCTGGCAAAGATGTCCACCCTGCACAGCCTCCCCCAGGCACCAGCACCCTCAGGGTTCGAGACCACGGCCCAGGAGCGCATCCTCCCTGGAGCTTTGTGGCTGCCCCCAGACAACTGAGATTCTGCCGGAGAAGAGCAGGAGGCATTTCCAGCCCTGTGACCCGAGGAGAAGGGCCGGGCCTTGCTGACCACTGGTAGAGTCCGACGTGGCCTTGGTTTCTGCAGGGACTCAGCTCCTCACCCCTCGCAGACTTGGTGGGCTCCATGACATGCCCAGTGCCACGTGCACCCACAGGTGCCCGGATGTGTGAGACGCCGCGTCCACTTCACAGGGAGGCCTCCGGGATGCGGGAGACGTGGGGTGGCCGACTTCACGGGGGCACCAGTGGGGTGTGTCTGGGCCTGGGCCATGCGGAGCACAGGAGACCAGCGCTCACGGAGGGCAGCCCAGAGAGGCCGGCAAGAGCACAGTGAGAATCCGCTGGGTTCCAGACCCACTGAGGCCCTGCCTTGAGCCCACATGCACCCTGGACGCCTGTTGATTCTGCAAAGGCTCTGCGCTCCACCTCTGGGCCCCACTCGTGGCTTCTCTGTTGGGGGCAGCCCCTCGTGGTCGGCCATTGGTCTCATTTCCCTGGAAGAGCCCCATTCCCCAGCTGCCCCTTGGGCCTGTGGGCTGAGCTGAGTGACCTGCCTGGAGTGGCCCATGTGACTCTGCCGAGCTCTGGGAGGAGGTCTGGTCTCTTCCATCACAAGCATCATTTAAAGCTTTGGAATCATCCCTGTTGTATTTGAATCCCGGGCCAAGGGGGTGTTGTGGGAAGAGGGAGTAGCTGCGGGAAGCCAGGGTCTCCGCAAACATTCCCGGCTCCGATGCGGCTGGAGGCCCTGTGGGATCTGGAATCCGCTCACTCCAAGGCTCTCCTGAGCACCTAGGGCTTGGAGAATCCTCTGCCACATGACTTCCTCACAAGGCTGTGCTGGTTTGCAAGCTCCTGGGAACGGAGAACTCAGTGTTTAACTAGAATGGAATGTTTCACGTTGGCCAAGTCAGTCAACACCTTTAGCCAAGTGTGCCAGGGAGCAGTGTGTGCTCGGTGCAAGCCGGTGGCCAACAGCCAGGCTTGGGTTCCTGCCGGGAGCACCAGAGCACCGCTCACCCGAGTTGATGTTCCTGGGCCCCTGTCCTCTGTCACATCAAGGTAAAGATCCTCACGAGACATAAAGTGGTCCCGAAAAAAGACTGCTAGAAACATCCCGCAATGCCTCTCGGGGAGCCCAGAGACCCTGGGGATTGGTGGATTTTCCTGGACAAGCCAAGTGGGGTTTCAAGTCCCACCTGTCCGTGAGAGGAAGCCTGGGTTGGGGGTAGTAGCCGGCATGGGCAGGTCTTGTGGGCTTCTCCCACCCTCCCGCTCAGCTACCTCCAGCCAGCTGTGCTAGGACAAAGAGGAGTTTCAAGAGGTCCCGGAGCCTCATGTGTTTACTGTAAGGCGGCTGGCCATGCCTCACCCTGAGTCCTGCAGGGAGAAGGTGGAGCCCAGGTGTGGGCTGAGCTGCTGGGGCTGAGCCAGGCTCAAGGCCCTGGCACCAGGCTGTGGAAAGTGCCGATAGCAAATACCGGAGGGCCGGGCATGGGCACAGGTCGGGGAGAAACTCAAGTTAGCTGTAGCCATGGCTGAGAGTTGAGCTCTGCTGTGGGTGGCTGTGGGCGGCTTGGGGCAGGTCCTGAGCTCCGGTAGCTGCGGTGTAATGGTGCTGACGGCTCTGTCCTTCCTCCCCAGAGTCCGAAGATCAAGGGAAAGACCCAAGCAGTAACGCGGAAGATGCCAGCTGGTAAGCAGCCTGTCCGACGCTGGCCTTTGTGAAGGTGGAGCTGGGAAAAGTGAGGTGGACACAGGAGAGGGTGGGGTGTGGGAGTGGTACCCGGGCATCAAGGTAGACACTTAGAAGGGGACAGAGGGAGCCCTGGGTCCTGCGAAGACCCCGCGCAGGGCCTGGATGGGAGGGCTGGGAAATCCTCCTTATTTTGAGAGGAATTCAGCGTGGGAACAGGACCCACCTGTAGCGGGGTGGTGTCCTCAGGACTCGGGCCCTGGCCTGAGGGTCACACAGCTGCATCCCTCTCAGTAGACACCCCATGGCCCTCTGGGGAAGGAGGCGTCGTCTCACTAGTGGACTGCTGGGCCCACCTTAGATGTAAACAACTCGAGTGCTCCTTTAGGGAGAGGGCGTGGGGCCCTGGACAGCACATCCCCACTTCGTACTGCCGAGTTCTTGCCTCCCTGCACCTCGCGTCCCGTTCTAACCCAGCTCTGGTTCTCCCACCCACTCACCCTCCTGCCATCAAAGAAGACTTAAAAGTCATTGAATTCCTCAAAAATTTGTCTCAGATCTAACAAAGTCGATTTACCAGCACCATGGCAAGGCACGGGCCAAGTCCCCCTTATTTACAAATGGCTCCCGTTGAGTGGAGACCAAGGAAGGTGTCCGGCCGCCGAAGCGGCCAAAGGTGCAATCAGTTGGTGAGAGTGAGTGTTCGTGTGTTAGACAGCATGTGTGCGGCGCCTGGAGCCTCCCACTCCGTAGAGCTCAGGGAAGCTGATGGCCTTGGTGAGGGCAGTTGAGCTGGGAAGACCACACACCTTTAGGGTGGCAAAGCTGAAAGCGTCTGCTCACGTTGGCCAAGTCAGTCAATACCCTCGGCCAAGTCAACGCCATTGCAGATGGTGGCGGAGCCCCTGTCATCCTCACTGCCTGTTGCATTCCTCTTGCCCCTGGCCACACACCATAGCAGACCACAGAAGGGGTCACGAGGTTGGTGCGAGTAACAGCAGGGCCAACCGTGGACCCTCCAGCCTACTGGCCAGCATGGCCCATTTGGTATCCACATGGAGTGTGGATCTGCGACAGGGTGGCTGCATCTTCTCATCAGATTTTGGTTCTTTGAGCAAGGTTAGACCCTGCTTTCCAAAATAAGCCCAGGTTGGCTGTAATCCCAGTCCAGACCCTGGCTGTACAGGGTAAGTTTTCCAGGCAAGATGGGCCAGCAGAGGGAGCCAGGAGGGCCAGGCTGTGGGGCCCTTCAGAGCCAGAACTCTGTGCTGGGTCAGGGCACCTCATAGGTGCCCACCAGACCCCAGGGGCACCAGCCTCAAGCCCAAGGAGACAGACCCGGAGGAGACCAGGAGCTGCCCGCAGCTATCTGCCGTCTCTTCCAAACCACTTTCCCTGCTCCTCCCGCAGTCAGAAAAACCTAGCACAAGACAAGAAGGAAAGCTTCAGCACCCTTGGGAAGCTGGGTCATGAGAGTGGAAAACAAGACCCAGAGAGGGAGAAGAGCGACTTGGAGGCCAGCATGCAGGAGGTGCAGGAAGGCGAGCACGCAGACGGAGGCTTGCAGGAGGCCAAGGTTGGGCCACGCTGAGGAGCGGTGCATTTTTTCCTCTTGCCTTGGAGCCCGGCCTTCACTTAACCTCTTTGGTCTTACAGGAACAGGAGGCAGAGTCCATAAAGCTAAATGACCTTCAGGAAGAAGAGGCAAGAGCTTTTCCCTTTAGTAATAGAAGTGAGAAGGGAGGCCTGTCCAGGCGGGAGTTCTGCCGGAGCCTGGACCTGCCCGGGACGGTGGCCTGGGGGTCAGCTCAGCAGGCGCCAGGCTGTGAAGCTGGACTGACTGGGCCCCTGCTACCCTAGAGAGGCTTGGGGCCAAGCTCTGAGACTCTTTACCCGATCCCAGGGCAGCCTGACCCCTGCTTGCCAAACGTGCAGTCACTAAAGGTGTATGAGGCCCTGAGAGGAGGTGCCCTCAGCTTGACCTTGGCCCAGAAAACACCCAGAGCCCCAGGCTTGATGTGTTGTCCAGGGACACGTCATGCTGTGGGGGTTCTCACGTGGCACCGTGTGAAGGAAAGTGGCTTTTGTTCTCCCTCCAAGCTGTGTGGTGGGGACGGTAACACAACCAGACACGCTGCTTGCCAGGCGGGCCTTGGTTTCATTCCAGGGCTCTTGGGAAGTCCTTCACCCACCCCCAGACACTGCCCTTGGAGTTGACTCAAATGCTCCCATCAGACACACGTTCTGGGCTGGCCCAGGTGCCCCGTTGGAGGCCTTGGGACAGCAAAACCCTGAGCCGCTGAAGCCGTTCACATCCCGGGGGGGGGTCTCCTGCTCCTTGGTGTGGAGTGTGGCCCACAGGCAGGCTGTGGGGCAGGAGTGCTGCCTTGTCGAGCAGGGCTGGGGTGGGAGCAGCCCGGCTCCCCAAGATCTGGGCATTGCCCCATCTCCTGGAGGCCCGAGTTCTCAGAGGATGAGGTTGGAGGAGACCCTCTGGGGTCTCAGGGCCCTGATGGGAGGTGAGTAGGGAGGGGTGAGAAAGCCATATCCCTCCTACATCCTTCTCCTACATGGGCACCTCACAGTCCATACTGCCGTCAGCTCTGCCCAGCGTCCCAGGAGCCCTCGTTCAGCATTGCCAGGATCTGGGGACCTGATGGTCATCACCAGGGTCTGCCCCGGCTGCCCCAAGGGCCAGGGGCCACTGTTCCTCCCAGGGAATCAACGTTCCTCTCCAGCTCACCCAAGCCTGCCATCCACACCTCTGTGGTTTCCATTCGCAGAAAGCATCTGTGTTTGTGGAGATTGATCTGGGAGACCATGCTGAGGAGGTAAAAATGGAAAACCGCAAGACAAGCAGAGCCAAAGCCACCAGGAAAGCGCCTGTGCTGCCTGGCAGGGCCAGCCTGGGAGGCTTTTCTGGGAACTTACCCCACAATAGCCATGTGTTGGATGGGGAGGCAGAGACCTGGGGCCAGCAGCTCCAGGAGAGCTCCCTGGTGTTGAGGATTGGTCTAGCCTCTTCCTTACCCTCCCACACTCCAACTCACGCACACTTCAGCACTATCAGAGACTCTGGGGCCTGGGTTAACCTTCAAGGTGCCCATGGGTCCTCAGAACCTCTTGTGGGGGATCACGTTGGGATGGTGAAAAGGGCACAGGCCTGGAAGCTCAGAGACTGGGCTTTGGTGGATGTGTGGTTCTGTCAGTAAATGCTCAAAACAACTCATCATACTTCCCTGTGCCTCAGTTGTCTCCTCTATAAAGTAGGAATCATATTAGTACCCGCATTCCAGGGTTGTCTGGGAAAGCTCTCAGAGCAGTGCCTCACACCCAGGAAAGCTTATCATCATCATCATGGGGTATCATCATCATCATCACCACCATTACTATCCTCAGCATCAACACCATCATTATATCACAACCATCATCATCATCACCACCAGCAACATCATCCCCATAAACATTATCACCATCATCATTAATATCACCATCATTATCACATCACCACCATCATTCCCATCAGCAGCATCATCATCATCATCACTATCATGACCATCATCACTGTCACCATCATCATCACCATCACCACTATCACTATCACCATCATCGTCACTATTACCATCACCATTATTACCATCATCACCTTCACCATCATCACCACCATTATAATCACCATCACCATCATCATCACCATTATAATCATCACCACCGTCATCATCACCATTAATACCATCACCATCATTATCACATCATCATCATCATCACCATCATTAATACCATCACCATCATCATCATCACCATCATTAATATCATCACCGTCATTATCACATCACCACCATCATTCCCATCACCAGCATCATCATCACCATCACTATCATGACCATCATCACCACCATCACTGTCACCATCATCATCACCATCACCACTATCGCTATCCCCATCATCACCACCATTATAATCACCATCATCATGACCATCATCACCATCATCATCATCACCATCACCACTATCACCGTCACCATTGTCATCATCACCATTATAATCACCATCATCACCATCATCATCATCACCATCATTAATACCATCATCACATCACCACCATCATTCCCATCACCAGCATCATCATCACCATCACTATCATGACCATCATCACCACCATCATCATCATCACCACTATCACTGTCACCATCATCACCAACATTATAATCACCATCACCATCATCATCACCATCATAATCATCATCATTGTCACCATCACCATCGCCATCATCACCATCACCATTACCACCATCATCACCATCACCATCATCACCACCATCACCATCATCACCATCACCATTATCACCATCATCACCTTCACCATCATCACCACCATTATAATTACCATCATCACCATCACCATCATCACCATCACCATCATCACCATCATCACCTTCACCATCATCACCACCATTATAATCACCATCACCATTGTCACCATCATCATCACCATCACCATTATAATCACCATCATCATTGTCACAATCATCATCACTGTCATCATCACCACCATCACCAGTATAGTCACCGTCATCATCACCACCATTATAATCATCATCATCACCATCGTCATCACCATCAACATTATCACCACCATAATCATCATCCTTATCTGTAAGAAGAAGAGGCTGACTTAATGACCTGTCTGGGCACTTCCAACACTAACATCTGGGGTGTGTTCCTCCATGTCTTTGCTGTAGTGAACAGTCATCATTCTGGAAGTTTATTGAAGTTCTTTCTTGGCAAGTTTAAGCTCCTTCCTGGGGGTCAGTTATTTTCCAGACTGTACCTTCTCTCCCTTTTGCCCTCAGAGCCACAGAGAGAGCTGGTTGTTAACCCCCAACAAGGCTATTCTTGGGGCACATGAGTTCTAAGGACTCAAGGAGGGCCAGTCAGTGGCACAGTTGGGCTGACAGGCCAGACCTGGTCTTCAGTCCAGGAGCCAGGCCTCATCAAGGGTGCAGTTCCTTGGTCAGGTTCCCCTAACTGGAAATGTCCAGTCAATAGAGAGCCCTGTCTGATGGGAGGTCATCCAGCCTCTGTGCCCTAGCCTGATCCTCCAGCAGGTCCACAGGCTATGCCTCAGTGCCCGTGGCTGACACCTCCCATCCCTTAAATGTCTCCACTCCCCACAGGTGGTCACCGATGCCAAGAAGGAAGAGAAGCCGTCCCAGATGGATGTGGAAGATCTGTCAGAAGACGAGTGAGTGATGCTTGTGGGCTCACACTAGGTGGGGGTAGGAGGACTTTCCCCCCACCACGGTCTCTGGTGTGCCCACCATGCCTTGTGTGTGGTGGGCAGAGCCGAGCCCAGGCGGTCCCCCCTTCTCCCTGGGCACTGCCGAGGCTCAGCACCTGCCGAGCCTGAGGGACTGAGGGCAGGGAACAGGACATCGGACCTTCGAAGGGCTCAGGGACGAGCTTCACGATGCCCCACCTCACCCCATAACCAGGCCGTGTCTCCTACCCACCAGCCAGGAAAAGGACCTGATGAGAAGGGGGAAGAGGAGGGAGAGTAGGGAGGAAGGAGGGGGGAGAGGTGATAAGTGCATGGTACTGACTTCTCCTGTTTAGGTTTTAGCTGCAGACTTGGGTCCTGCAGGTAGTGGGAAGCCGTGCATACACGGCTGGTGTCACAGCCAAGCAGGCTTCTCTCACAACAAGCCTCGGGCCCTGGGGCCGGGGCTAGGCAGCCTCCGAAGAGATGATCCGTGTCCCCAGGCTGGATGCTGTGTAGGTCCAGGGAAGCCCCAAGACTCCCCGAGGCCCGAGGCCCTGAAGATGGGTGTGGGGAGAGAAGACACTGGCCCATTGAAGGGGGCCCATGGATCTATAGTGTTTTATTTTAAGCAACACACAAAAATACAAAAAGCAATTGTCCAAATGCCTACCACTCAGAATTAACAGTTTATCAGTATTTTGATTTCTTACAGATTTTTTTAAAGGATGAATTGTTCTATCGGCTTTATAAAACAGTCACATGATACTAAACCTTCTTTCAGCCTGTAATCCCAGCACTTTGGGAGGTTGAGGTGGGCAGATCATGAGGTCAGGAGATCGAGACCATCCTGGCCAACATGGTGAAACCCTGTGTTTACCAAAATACAAAAAATTAGCTGGGCGTGGTGACAGGTGCCTGTAGTTCCAGCTACTAGGGAGGCCGAGGCAGGAGAATCGCTTGAACCCAGGAGGCGGAGGTTGCGGTGAACCGAGATAGCACCACTGCACTCCAGCCTGGGTGACAAGAGCGAAACTCCATCTCAAACAAACAAACAACAGTTACATTAACATTTTAACCAGTCATTTACAATAACGGGAATTATGTGGAATAGCACAACAGAGAGAAATGTTTAAAAATCACCCCAGCTTCCACCTCTTAAAAGCACATGGGAGCACCTGACTTTCGACACTGAGGACAGTGGCTGCAGCTGAGGCTGAGGACAGGGGCCGTGGCTGAGGACAGGGGCAAGGCTGAGGACGGGCGAGGCTGAGGAGAGGGGGCTGTGGCTGAGGACAAGGACTGCGGCTGAGGACAGGGGCCGAGGCTGAGGACAGGGGCGAGGCTGAGGACTGGAGCGAGGGCTGAGGACAGGGGTGAGGCTGAGGACAGGGGCGAGGCTGAGGACAGGGGCCGAGGCTGAGGACGGGCTGAGGCTGAGGACAGGGGTGAAGCTGAGGACAGGGGCCGAGGCTGAGGACAGGGCCGAGGCTGAGGACAGGGGCGAGGCTGAGGACAGGGGCGAGGCTGAGGACGGGAGAGGCTGAGGACGGGCCGAGGCTGAGGACGGGGCGAGGGCTGAGGACAGGGACCGAGGCTGAGGACAGGGGTGAAGCTGAGGACAGGGGCCGAGGCTGAGGACAGGGCCGAGGCTGAGGACAGGGGCGAGGCTGAGGACAGGGGCCGAGGCTGAGGACAGGGGCAAGGCTGAGGACGGGCTGAGGCTGAGGATAGCGGGGAGGCTGAGGACAGGGGCTGCAGCTGTACCTGCCAAGCGGCATCCTTGCCCAGGGCCAGCTTTGAGAGCTGCAGCCCTCGGCCCCCGACTGGTCTGGCTTTGCTGACGGATTGCTGCTGTGATGATGACAGCCCTACCTGCGCTACCTGCTCTCAGATTTTTATGTCTCCAGGGAGAGAGAAAGTCCTCGAGAACATTGCACTCTGCCCCAACTCAGCAGAGTCTCTGCCTCTTTTGACTCCTACCGTAACCAGGTCACACCAGCTTTCACTAGGACATTGGGGTTGTTTTGACTCCTGAGTCTGGGCTTAAAATGGGCAGGTATTTTCCAAGTACAGCTCTATTTTTCTCATCGTTTCCTGATGATGGATTTGGCACTCGGCACACAGCTCGATGGCTGTTTTCTGCCCCAAGCTGGACAATCCTGGGTCGAAATCTCCTGGTCTCAGCCTCCATCCCCCTTGACTCAGCTATCCCAGAAAACCTGCCCAGTGGGGCTGCTGGTGGCGTGCAGTGGGGAGAGCTGCCAGCAGAAACGAGCTGACGTGGCTTCTTAGGTTTGCTACCTCATCTCACAAATTCCCCCTTTGGATCACCATCCAGTTGCATTTACAAGACCCAATGCTGATTTCCCAATACCGGGAGGTTCCCGCCCAGGAAGGCCGAGAGTCCTCAGCCGTGGCTGTAATGAATGGGCATCAGCTCACGTGCACACTTGCGTGTTCATTGGAAAATGCTTTGGCAGGCTCCATCTCTTTTTTTGTTTTTGAGACACAGTCTCACTCTGTTGCCCAGGCTGGAGTGCAGTGGCACCATCTCGGCTCACTGCAAGCTCCGCCCCCCAGGTTCACGCCATTCTCCTGCCTCAGCCTCCTGAGTAGCTGGGACTACAGGCGCCCACCACCACGCCCAGCTAGATTTTTTTTGTATTTTTAGTAGAGCCAGGGTTTCGCCGTGTTAGCCAGGATGGTCTCGATCTCCTGACCTCAGGATCCACCTGCCTCAGCCTCCCGATGTGCTGGGATTACAGGCGTGAGCCACCGCACCCAGCCTCCATCTCTTTTTTAATTAGCATGATCTGGATTTTCTTTTTCCTAGTGTTGCCTTTTCCTGTACCTGCCCAACACAATACATCCCCAGGACTGTTACAGGGAAACCACAGATCACGCAGAGCACTGCACACTTCATAGCATCAGAGGGGCCACAGATCACGCAGAGCTCTGCACACTTCATAGTTCCAGAGTAGCCACAGATCACACATAGCTCTGCACAGTTCATAGTTCCAGAGTAGCCACAGATCATGGAGAGCACTGCACACTTTATAGCATCAGAGGGGCCACAGATCACGCACAGCTCTGCACACTTCATAGTTCCAGAGTAGCCACAGATCACACAGAGCACACAGAGCACTGCACACTTCACAGCATCACAGTAACTACAGATTGGAAAAAAAATGGATAACCAGTGAACAAAACTGGAACCACTTTTGTATATTATGTCATTAATTGTGCTCTTAATATTTCCCACCTTTTTGTACCCATATTTATTACAGTCCTTTCCACAAAAAGCAGTTTTGGACTAGAGCTGATTATAAATGTTTTTAGAGAATACTTCAGAACAATGACTACAGATGCAAAACCTTAGAACAGCCACAGTTAAAATTTGATGAAAGCTTCTAACCAACAAGAAAACAGTTATTTCTATTACACATAACATTGTAAGAAAACAACCAAAATCATGACTGACAGTGTCACATCAGGACTGCCCAGCTTCTATACATTTTCACATAATCTTTAGAATATTCACACGGATAACATGCCCATACAAATATAGTTTACAATTGGACATTATCAAAATTATGACTGATATTATATTAATATAAATGTATGTAATTTTTAGAACATTTATATCAATAACATGCTCACAATTAAAACTAAAAGAAGATTTAGTATCATTTATCATTTGATGATGCTACCCATAGAGTTTTACCAAATGTAATTGTTTAATCTGAAAAGACTTTATGTAGGATTTTGATTCTGTGGAAACCTGCAAAAGATGTCAAAAGGTTCAAAACAATCAAAACAGAATTACAGATCATTTAAAAATAATAGTCACTCATTTAACCAGAGTGATTATCAAAAGACTTCACAGGCAATTTAGGAAGTTACATTGCTGTAAAAACCATAACCCTTTTAAAGCTCAGTTGTCTTAAGTAATCAAAATCTAATAAAGATAAAGGAGAAATTATCTTGATAAAATATAAAATATTTGGTTTTTAAGCCAGTTACCAAAAGGTACAGAAAAACCTGCAGTGTGATTGCCTCTCCTTGAGGGAAGCCCATGCAGGTAACCTGGAAGTCAGATCCGATGGAACCTCGCCTGACACAGGAAGAGCATCTTCAGGGCTGTGGGTGTGCACTTGATTACAGAGGACAGTAAACAAGGAAACTAGGGCCTTGAGCTGGGGAACACACAGCTGTTGGTAACAGCATGAGAAGTTGCCTGATTATGTTGAACAATTCAGACATAGCAAGAAAAGCCAAGTGTATAAATTGAAGCTGCACTTAAGGAAAACGTTGCTTAAACAGCAGAGTTAGAACTGGAGGAAAAAGTTGCAGGACTTGACAAAAAGTTTGAAGGAGAAAGTTGTTATCCCAGGCCTTCTTAAGGGGAGAAAGAGCTGAGGCAGCCACGCACGACCTGCAAACCACACGTGACAAGGGACAGCAGAAGCTGAGTTTCTGAGATGTAGACCTGAGCAGTTTCAAAAGAAATGATTTCAGAGTTAAAAATCAAAACCTCTTGCAATTTCATTAAGAGCAAACCAGTACTTTAAGGAAACTTTGTGGTGACATAGGGGACCAATCTTTAGTTTTGTATTAATGTATATTTAATATCAAAGCTCAATCTTTTTTTTTGAGACAGAGTCTCGCTCTGTCGCCCAGGCTGTAGTGCAGTGGCACGATCTCAGCTCACTGCAAGCTCCGCCTCCTGGGTTCACGCCATTCTCCTGCCTCAGCTCCCAAGTAGCTGAGACTACAGGCGCCCACCACCATGTCTGGCTAATTTTTTTTTTTGTATTTTTAGTAGAGACAAGGTTTCACCATGTTAGCCAGGATGGTCTCGATCTCCTGACCTCATGATCTGCCTGCCTTGGCCTCCCAAAGTGCTGGGATTACAGGCATGAGCCACCATGCCTGGCCCAAAGCTCAATCTTTAGAAGGACATATAAATAATTCCCTTTTAATCACAGCCAACTTACACACAGAATTCTTTTCAAAATTATCTTTTCATAAACCTTATCATGACTTTTACAGACCATTCTGACATGCTTGGACTTTGTGCTTTGTCCTACACTTCTTTTTAAAATAGCCAGTCATTTTGCTTCAGGATAAAAAGAGAGATAACTTGGACAAGTCCACATGTTAACTCTATCATCGCAGATTGCCATTTGAGCTCCAAATTTTCCTTGATATAATTTGCTCATTGGTTTAAAATAAGCAAAAGAGTGGGCCAGTGACAGCCTTAGAAAGCCTGGTATGCCTTAATGTTTAAGAACACCATTTTTGACCATTTCTGCATTAAATCTCCTTTCATGAACCCCTCCCATCTAGAAGGGCTCCATGTGTCACACGCCTGCTGGGCACTGACTGGAGGTTGGTTGTCCAGTGCCTGTTGTTTCACTTTGTTATGATTCATTTCCCACTGGGAGTCAGATTAAAAGGGGAAGCACCTGCTCAACCTGGCCAGACAGCTTCACACATCCTAGCCAATCAGACAGCCTCACACATTCTACCCAATCAGACAACCTCACACATCCTAGCCAATCATGCAGCCTCACACATTCTACCCAATCAGCCTCACACATCCATTTCTTCCTAGAATCTTTTCCTTTTCTTTTTTGAGGCAGATCTCACTCTGTCACCCAGGCTGGAGTGTAGTGGTGTGTTCCCAGCTCACTGCAACCTCCACCCCCTGGGCTCAAGTGATTCTCCTGCCTCAGCCTCCCAAGTAGCTGGGACCACAAGTGCCATCATGCCCAGCTAATTTTTTATTTTAGTAGAGATGGGGATCTCCCTATGTTGGTCAGGCTGGTCTTTAACTCCTGAGCTCAAGTGATCCACCTGCCTCAACCTCCCAAGTGCTGGGATTACAAGCATGAGTCACAGCACCTGGCCCCTAGTATCTTTCAACTAGGAGAATTTTTCTCCTTAACAAATGAAAAGTCTCCAAAACTCAGGGCTGTCAGCCAAGCAGGAGGTCTGAGCCCTAGCACAGCCCCAGGAGAGGACCCAGAGAGACCCCAGGAGAGACCCCACCACGTGCAGCTGTGCAGGGGCCAGAGAGGCCCCAAGGGCCTGTGCTGGGGTCAAGGTGCCAGGTCCCTGCAGTGTCCCTGGGCAGTCCGCTAGGAGTCCCTTCATGGGCACGATGATTGCCAATTAAGGAAAAAAAAGCTTTTCAAGAGTTTGTTTTACGTGGAAGTCTTAGTGAGGACTGTGCACTGAGGCTGTCGCCCGCGAGCCGTCTGTCCATTGCCCCACGCCGTGTTTCTGTTCACGGTTCCTGGACAGGCGGCGGGGGCTGGGCGCATGCAGAATCACATCAAGGTTTGAGTGCGAGGGCATGTTTGGCTGTAGATTACAGAGGCGTAATCACGAACCGCGGCAGACGTCGTGTGCAGGAAAAGGCACGGACCCAGGTCACTGATCTTTTAAGAACATAGTGGCTCCAGGTGGGGACGGAGGCAGGGCCCTTGTGCTTTTTGCTGTTTTGTCTTCAGGCATCCTTCTGGAGACCTGCATGTCCTCCCAGTCAGGGCTCAAGCAGAAACCAGCAAACTGGGCTTCTCATCCGCCACTCACCACAGCCCCTAAGGCTTGATGAAATGGGGTGCATGCAGAGTGCAGGGGAGACCCCCAGTGCACTTGATGAAAGGGGGTGCATGTGGAGTGCAGGGGAGACCCCCAGTGCACTTGATGAAAGGGGGTGCAGGCAGAGTGCAGGGGAGACCCCCCAGTGCGCTTGATGAAAGGGGGTGCATGTGGAGTGCAGGGGAGACCCCCAGTGTGCTTGATGAAAGGGGGTGCATACAGAGTGCAGGGGAGACCCCCCCGGTGCACTTGATGAAAGGGGTGCAGGCAGAGTGTAGGGGAGATCCCCCAGTGTGCTTGATGAAAGGGGGTGCAGGCAGAGTGCAGGGGAGACCCCCCCAGTGCACTTGATGAAAGGGGGTGCATACAGAGTGCAGGGGAGACCCCAGTGTGCTTGATGAAAGGGGGTGCATATGGAGTGCAGGGGAGACCCCCAGTGCGCTTGATGAAAGGGGGTGAATACAGAGTGCAGGGGAGACCCACCAGTGTGCTTGATGAAAGGGGGTGCAGGCAGAGTGCAGGGGAGAACTCCCAGTGCGCTTGATGAAAGGGGGTACAGGCAGAGTGCAGGGGAGACCCCCAGTGTGCTTGATGAAAGGGGGTACATGTGGAGTGCAGAGGAGACCCCCAGTGTGCTTGATGAAAGGGGGTGCAGGCAGAGTGCAGGGGAGACCCCCAGTGTGCTTGATGAAAGGGGGTGCAGGCAGAGTGCAGGGGAGACCCCCCAGTGCGCTTGATGAAAGGGGGTGCAGGCAGAGTGCAGGGGAGACCCCCAGTGTGCTTGATGAAAGGGGGTGCATGTGGAGTGCAGGGGAGACCCCCAGTGTGCTTGATGAAAGGGGGTGCAGGCAGAGTGCAGGGGAGACCCCCCAGTGCACTTGATGAAAGGGGGTGCAGGCAGAGTGCGGGGGAGACCCCCCAGTGTGCTTGATGAAAGGGGGTGCATGCAGAGGTGCAGGGGAGATCCCCCAGTGTGCTTGATGAAAGGGGGTGCAGAGTGCAGGGGAGACCCCCCAGTGTGCTTGATGAAAGGAGGTGCATGCAGAGTGCAGGGGAGACCCCCAGTGCGCTTGATGAAAGGGGGTGCAGGCAGAGTGCAGGGGAGACCCCCCAGTGCGCTTGATGAAAGGGGTTGCATGCAGAGGTGCGGGGAGACCCCCCAGTGTGCTTGATAAAAGGGGATGCATATGCAGGTGCAGGGGAGACCCCCCCAGTGTGCTTGATGAAATGGGAGCATATGCAGGTACAGGGGAGACCCCCCAGTGCACTTGATGAACGGGGGTGCATATGCAGGTACAGGGGAGACTCCCCAGTGCACTTGATGAAAGGGGGTGCATACACAAGTGCAGGGCAGACCTCCCAGTGCACTTCAGGTTGGGGGTGCTGCTCTCGGGGTGCCTGTGGCCACAGTGCTGGCCCAGGACCCTTTCTCACCCACCTGCCCTCCTCTCGCCCTGCAGGATGCAGACCAGCTGGGTGTGCTGCATCCCGTACTCCACCAGGAAGAGGGCAAAGGAGAGCACCTAGCGCCCCGGAGAGGGTGCTCAGAGCTTGGCGAAGAAGAGGAAGGAGACGGGGTGCAGAGGGGCTGGGGGCACAGGAGGCGGGACGGAGGGCGATCCGGCCACCTACTTGCCGCCCAAGAGCCTTCTCTGCCAGGCACTGAGGTTTCTGTTTTCTTCTTGTGGGACTGGCCAGGCCTGGAAGGAGCGAGAGCACAGACTGCGCCTTTGGGCTAAAGATCCCGCCAGCTCTGAGCAACGCTGGGGTGCCGATGACCACACCAGGTGTGAGCCACGCCTGAAACCCACTGCCCACTGGGTGAGTGATGACGTGACCTTCAACAAACACAATAAACAAGCACGGGAAGATGCTCCTCCTCTCCACCAGATGCTCCTCCTCTCCACCAGATGCTCCTCCTCTCCACCAGATGCTCCTCCTCTCCACCAGATACTACTCCTCTCCACCAGATACTACTCCTCCTCTCCACCAGATGCTCCTCGTCTCCACCAGATGCTCCTCCTCTCCACCGGATGTTCCTCCTCTCGTCGAGATGCTCCTCGTCTCCTCGAGATGCTCCTCGTCTCCACCGGGTGCTCCTCGTCTCCACCGGATGCTCCTTGTCTCCGCCGGATGCTCCTCCTCTTCGCCAAATACTACTCCTCCTCTCCGCCAGATCCTACTCCTCCTCTCCGCCAGATACTACTCCACCTCTCCGCCAGATCCTACTCCTCCTCTCCGCCAGATCCTACTCCTCTCTGCCAGATCCTACTCCTCCTCTCCGCCAGATCCTACTCCTCCTCTCTGCCAGATCCTACTCCTCGTCTCCGCCAGATGCTCCTCCTCGTCTCCGCCAGATGCTCCTCGTCTCCGCGAGATGCTCCTCCTCTCTGCGAGATGCTCCTCCTCTCCACCGGATGCTCCTCCTCTCCTCGAGATGCTCCTCCTCTCCTCGAGATGCTCCTCGTCTCCACCGGCTGCTCCTCGTCTCCGCCGGCTGCTCCTCGTCTCCGCCGGCTGCTCCTCGTCTCCGCCGGATGCTCCTCCTCTCTGCCAGACACTACTCCTCGTCTCTGCCAGACACTACTCCTCCTCTCCGCCAGACACTACTCCTCGTCTCTGCCAGACACTACTCCTTGTCTCTGCCAGACACTACTCCTCGTCTCCGCCAGACACTACTCCTCGTCTCTGCCAGATGCTCCTCCGCTCCACGAGATGCTCCTCCTCTCCACGAGATGCTCCTCCTCTCCACGAGATGCTCCTCGTCTCCGCCAGATGCTCCTCCGCTCCACGAGATGCTCCTCGTCTCCGCCAGATGCTCCTCCGCTCCTCGAGATGCTCCTCCTCTCCACCGGATGCTCCTCATCTCCGCCGGATGCTCCTCGTCACCGCCGGATGCTCCTCGTCTCCGCCGGATGCTCCTCCTCTCCGCCGGATGCTCCTCCTCTCCACCAGATACTACTCCTCCTCTCCACCAGATACTACTCCTCTCTGCCAGATACTACTCCTCTCCGCCAGATACTACTCCTCCTCTCCGCCAGATGCTCCTCGTCTCCGCCAGATGCTCCTCGTCTCCACGGGATGCTCCTCGTCTCCACGGGATGCTCCTCCTCTCCACCAGATGCTCCTCCTCTCCTCGAGATGCTCCTCATCTCCACCGGATGCTCCTCGTCTCCACCAGCTGCTGCTCCTCTCCACCAGCTGCTCCTCATCCCCACTGGATGCTCCTCATCCCCGCCGGATGCTCCTCCTCTCCGCCAGATCCTACTCCTCCTCTCCGCCAGATCCTACTCCTCCTCTCTGCCAGATCCTCCTCCTCGTCTCCGCCAGATCCTCCTCCTCGTCTCCGCCAGATCCTCCTCCTCGTCTCCGCCAGATGCTCCTCCTCGTCTCCGCCAGATGCTCCTCGTCTCTGCCAGATGCTCCTCCTCCCCACGAGATGCTCCTCATCTCCACCGGATGCTCCTCATCTCCACCGGATGCTCCTCGTCTCCACCAGCTGCTCCTCGTCTCCACCAGCTGGAGGACTCCAGCCCCTTCCTGCCCTGGCCTCTTGCTCAGTGGCTTGTTGGGTGGGGACAGAGGCCCCTGGGGCACAGCAGGGGAGGCTCAGCCCTTTGTGGGCCTCGTGTGAGCTGCAGCTCCTGGAAGCACCCCCACCAGGCAGGAGTGAGAGGTGCAGGGCAGGGATGGAGCATCTGCTGTGTCACCAAAGTCCCTGCAGGAGCCAGGAGCACGGTGGACGCAGCTGAGCCCCGGCTGTGACTGCGAGAGCAACAGAGACTGTGGTGCTGGCACTAGGATCTGTCCCTGGAGGGAAGCCACATGCTCCCCACTCAGAGGAGGAGAGGGAGTCTTCCTAGGGGTGTGGGGGGCTCCAGGACATGCCTGTAAGACGAGTTTCACCAGAATCCACCCAGAGCCCTCTCGTTCAGACACGCACACGTGCATATTCATATGTACACAGCACATACATGCTCGTACATACCACACATGTGCACAGGAGGGCACGGGCAGGTGACCTGCAGCATCTCTGATCCGGGTGTCTCTAAGGCAGTCAGAGGCCACAGGCGGAGATGCTGTGTGCACTGTCTATTCCCGTGGAGACACATGGGGGCCGTCCCTGTGGTGCACATGATAATGCAGAGGCTCCCAGAGGGTGAGCTCTGCCCATCACTCAGCCAGGGAGGGAGGGGCCCTTTTCAGGGAGCCGCATGCCACGCAGAGCTTGTCCCACTGGGTAGTTTCCTCTGATCAAAGTGGGGCACCATCCAGGCTGCAGAGAGAAAGGGGACCCCCCAAAGCCAGCACCCACCCTTGACTGAAAGACACCACAGAAGATAAGTGCCCATCGGCCCCAGAGTCATCATTTCCCAGACAACCGGAAATGGGCCCTGGACGGGCTGTCCTGGACAGGCTGCCGGGCAGTTGGGTGTGACTCAGTTGCGGCCTCCAACTGTGCCAACCAGAAAGGCACCCAGAGAAGCTTCCGGAAATACGGTTGGTTTGTCCCCTTGGTGGGGCAGGAGGCGGCAGCTCTGCCGGGTGGCTCCCAGCACCCTCCCCCACAGAGCAAACATCGGCATGAGTCTGTCCACCCGTGTATTCGTCCTGTCGCCGCGTGTGGCTGGCCTCATTCTGGGTATGCTGGCGGCAGCCACCTCTAGGACAGGGAGGTCCCATGGCTCTGCAGACACAGGAGCTTGGCAGTGGCTTAGCTGTTAGAATGTGAGCCTTCCAGAGTCAGACGCGCCTTTGCCTTCTGTTGGGCTCTGAGCTCATTTCCTCAAACCCAGGGTAATTCTGTTCCTCCTTCACTGTCTGGTGGGGTGGGGGTCACAGTGTCCGGGGGAAGAGCTGATCAGGGCCAGTGCTGGGGTGGGAAGGGCTGACTCCTGGGACCCCGGAGAGGTGATTGTTGCCACGGGGGGTAAAGTTCCACGTGCTGCTCCTCTGAGCCTTGATTCTGGGCACTCCAGGGCGGCCAGGCCTGGCTCACACCTTCCTACCTCAGGGAGATTTCCGTGGCGCAGGCACACGCCCTGTGGGATGTGAGTGGCCACCTGGCTTGGGCCCCAACTCCCATCAGAGAAGCGGGCAGGTCCCGAGCGAGCTGTTCAGGGCACTCAGCAGCCACACACCCAAGGAATGGGGCTGCCTTGTGCCAGGCCGGGGGTCTGGGGAAGGGCTCAGTGGGCGCTGAACTCAGAGGGTCCTGGCAGCGGCAGTCAGCGTCCAGGATGGTCAGCGGTGAGGCCAAGCCCCGTCTTAGTGGAGGGGACGAGGCTGGGCTTTGGAGACTGTGGGGAGCAGGAGACATCCCTGAGGAAACAGGTCTACGCGCCGCAGAGCCCGAGAGCAGCTCCTGCCACGTGGTTGATGCTGCTGAGGCCGGGGGCTGCCTCTGCCCCGCCGCCCCGCCCAGCATGAGCGTGTTCCTGCTGCTGCCCGGCCCGTTGGGCTGAGAGGCTCAGGCAGCAGCGCTGGGGTCGATGGAGTGGACCAGGCAGGGGCCCAGGGCAGGAACCCCCTGTAGATGCACAGCCCTGAGCTCAGCAAATCAGCTGTGGTGACATCCAGGGAGGGGTGGAAGCCCAGGCTCCCCCTAGAAGGACGCTGCCCTTGGCCTTCAGTCCTATGGGGCACAGATGCCGCCTGGGCTTTCTAGGGCCGGCCAGTGGTCCTGGGGTGGTGGCCCCCGTTGCCCCAGGCCCAGTCTGCCTCAGTTTTATCCTCAGTCCCCACTGGCCCCTGACCTGTGCAGATTCCAGTAAGTGAGCGAGGCTGTCAGAGCCCTCCCAGGCTGGGGGAGATGGCCCAGCCCCACATGGTGCCTGCACCTCCGAGGTGGCCCCCTTGGAACCCAGCCCTGAGCAGGCGGGAGCGGCGGCCACACAGCGGCCCTGGGCAGGCGGGAGCGGCAGCCACACAGCGGCCCTGGGCAGGCGGGAGCGGCGGCCACACAGCGGCCCTGGGCAGGCGGAGGGGTGGCCACACAGCGGCCCTGGGCAGGCGGGAGCGGCGGCCACACAGCAGCACAGACCCTGAGCCGGCGCAGTTCCTCCAGCCACGCCAGCTACACCTTGGCTGTGTCCCTGCCGGGCTCCAAACACCTGTGTCCGTGCCACTGGCCACCTCTTCCCTGCCGTGTCACCCCCACCCCTGCCAAGTGTTCTGTGTGTTTTCACTGCAGGTGATGTGGGAAAGGGCGAGTCTCAGTTCAACGTTCTGGTTCCTTGGGGGCTGTCGGAACAATCGTGTGTTCTTTCCAGAGTTTTCTCTGTCTGGGTTTAGATGCCCACACACGGGACCATGTATTCAATCCCTGTGCATATAGATGGTGCCATATACGGAGAGAGGCATAGGTTGTCTTACGAGAGTGGGGTCGCGTTGCACTGTGGCCCCTGCCAGGCCCTGTCCGGAGTGCTGAACACAGAGCAGCAGGTGCCGCCGGTCCCCAGCCTCTTGGAGCCCCGTTCCCTCTGGGCGTCGTAGACAGTCGAGTTCAGCACATCTCTACGTGGAGTTTCGCAAAAAAGGCAACCACTTTGAAATGGGAGGGCCGCAGCGCCATGGCCTGGCGACGCCTGTGAGTGACTACAGTGGGGCCTGGAGGAGGAGCAGGGGGATGAATGCAGCCTTGGGGCAGGCGCTGGGGCCTGGAGGAGGCTTGGGGAGCAGGGCATGGGGGGCGGGGAGCGAGTGCAGCCTTGGGGCAGGCGCTGGGGCCTGGGCCTGGCTGGGCCCCTCTATGCCTTTCAGTCTTGAGGTCTGGAAACCCGGCCGGGATCTCCCCCGAGTGGGCAGTGCTGTTGGTGGCGGCGGGGGGGAGTGGTGCTGGCACTGTGTGGCCGGGCAGAGCCGAGGCCAAAGCAGTTCCATCCACACGCAGTCCACGAAGGGACGTCGGGCGCCTCCCACAAGCAAAGGCCCCGCCCGGCTCCAGCCCGGCCCGCAGGGACGACCTTGCCCTTCTTTCCTCCCTGGCCAACAGCACCACCCCGTGGGGGCCCCGGTGCTGAGGGCTCAGGCTGCCTGTTTCCGTCCTGGAAACCACAGACACCCGAGATCCAAGCAAGGAAGGCAGGATTTCCATACCTCCTCCCCAGCTGAGCATTCGCTGGAGGGGGACGGGGCTGTCACTACGTCCCTTATGATGATCACCTCATAGAGGCTGGGCCTCCCCACACCAGGACCACACGCCCATGAGGGCCCCACAGGCCTCAGCCTAGAGAGCCCCCATGGGAAACCCTGTGCTGTGAATGGTGTGGAAATTCCCCTGTGTCCTTCCCACGTGACCCCACAAAACCCTCAGCCGTGGACATCCCGAGTTCCTCTGAACGCCCGGCCTTCCCAAGCCTCGCCAGCGCCACGGACATCCCGGGGCCCCGGGGAAGGGTGGCTCTGCCGGGAGACAGGGTCTTCTCTCTGGCTCTGGTTCTGAAGGCTGTGGTGGGTGCAAGGTTCACCAGAGACGGCAGGACTCCCGTGCCCTGGAGCGGGAGGGAGTCTCTCCTGTGTCTCCCCTGGGCGCCGGCTCCTGCTGAACCCCAGACCCAGCTGTGGGAGAAAGCTGCCCAGGGCCCTGCAGGAGAGGCGGGGCCAGCCCTGGTGCACACAGGGGCAGAGGCACCTGGGCTGGTCTGGGCTGGGAGGTCAACTCTCCGTGTTGCAATGCTGTGTCCAGGTCTGAAAAGGGCAATGTGAAAGCAACTCCTCAGGGACAGAAGCCAGGCCACTCTGGGGAGAGGCAGGACACAGCCCTTCTGGCCCTGAACACCTTGAGGGGCAGGCAGGGGGTGATGACCCCACTCTACAGATGGGAGCACCGAGGTGCCCAAGGCAGGGGGTGAGGACCCCACTCTACAGATGGGAGCAGTGAGGTCCCCAAGGTGGGGGTGATGACCATATTCTCCAGATGGGAGCACCGAGGTCTCTGAGGCAGGGGGTGATGACCCCACTCTACAGATGGGTGCATTGAGGTCCCTCAGGCAAGAGTGATGACCCCACTCTACAGATGGGAGCACCGAGGTGCCCGAGGCAGGGGGCGAGGACCCCACTCTACAGATGGGAGCACCGAGGTTCCCAAGGCAGGGGGTGAGGACCCCACTCTACAGATGGGAGCAGTGAGGTCCCCAAGGTGGGGGTGATGACCATATTCTCCAGATGGGAGCACCGAGGTCTCTGAGGCAGGGGGTGATGACCCCACTCTACAGATGGGTGCATTGAGGTCCCTCAGGCAAGAGTGATGACCCCACTCTACAGATGGGAGCACCGAGGTGCCCGAGGCAGGGGGCGAGGACCCCACTCTACAGATGGAAGCACTGAGGTCCCCGAGGTGGGGGTGATGACCGTATTCTCCAGATGGGAGCACTGAGGTCTTTGAGGCAGGGAGTGAGGACCCCACTCTACAGATGGTTGCACTGAGGTCCCTCAAGCAAGAATGATGACCCCACTCTACAGATGGGAGCACCAAGGTCCCCAAGGCAGGGGGCGATGGGAGCACCAAGGTGCCTGAGACATGAGTGATGACCCCACTCCACAGATGGGAGCACCGAGGTCCCTCTGTGGGCAGCTTGGGGCCAGGCACAGGACTGGCAGAGGCTGGGAGCACAGCTTGTCGGGGCATCTGCGGGTGTGAGGGCCTGACACTGTCTTCAGGGCTTAGCCTTTGTTCTCCCTGCAAGAGGGGACAGAATGCCCTTTGTCTTTGTAAATCTATGCCCTGCTTTAGGCAAAAAGAGGAATCCGGAGAGCACTCCTGGACCTGTTTCTTCTTAATCGTCTTCATCTCAAAGGCCCTTCCTGTTTTGGGGAGTCACACACACTCTTCTGACACTGACGACCTGGAGTGTCACAGACCCTGAAGGTGAAGGGCTCTGTCCCACAAGACTCTGCCCCTACTTCTGATGACAGCCGTACATGGGTACCCAGGCAACCCACACTCACTCCTGACAACTGCAGATTTGGGGAACTTTACATCCCCTCAGATTCACTAGAACACCTCCCAGGGCTCAGGAAAGTGCTTTACGTACAATCATGCTTATTATGAAGGAAACCCATGAACAGCTCAGTGAAGAGAGTGGGGAGGTGGGCACTGATCTCTGAGCACCGTGGGGGCTCCCCAGCCTGGGGGCTCCCCAACCCTGATGCCCAAAAGTTTTTATCTAGGCCTCATTACACAGGTATGATTGATTAAGTCATTGGTCATTGGTGATTGAACACAAACTCAATCTCTGGCCCCTCCCAGGAGTGGGGGCGGTGAGGGGGGCTGGAAGTTCCTCTCTAATTACATGGTTGGTTCCTCTGGCAACAAGCTCCCACCCTAAAGCTACCTTGGGGTCCCCCAAGAGTCACCTCATTAGGGTAAACAAATGTGGTGAAAAAGAGTTGTTATGAAATCAGACACCCCTATCAGGAAATTCCAAAGATTTAAGGAGTTCTGTCCCTGGAACAGGGGACAAAGACCAGATGTATTTTTTATTATACCACAATACAAATCTCTTAATTTATTCAGGTCTCCTTCGATTTATCTCAGTAGCGTTTTGTAGTTTTAGGTGATAAGCTCATGCACACTGAGATTCAAAGGGGTCTGTTGGAGCGTTCAGCAATTCATGAACTGAGCAGTACCAGAACGTGTGAGGTTCAGCGTGAGGTTCAGCGCTCCACTGAGGTTGAGGGGCGGAGCTCTTTTCTAAGTGTCTGCAGAAGCGGGACAAAGACAAGACATCTGGTTAAAAGGAAGTCCCTGGTGAGAGGCTGGTTTGGCAGTTTCTGGGCAGTGTCAGTTTCGTGGCCCAGTTCCCAGTGGGCTTCGGTGTGCTCACACAGGGTCCCAGGCACTGAAGCCGCCTCAGCCCAGGGCCTCCTGGTTAACTTTCTCATGTAGCTTTCCGAGTATATGTCCACCACTTGTTTTGGTCAAAGCCACTCATAAGTAATTTAACATTTTTGATGTCAAGAACAATAAATAGAAGTTTCCTCTTTGTGCCTCCCCAGTCACTGGGCTTCAGTCCCAGGAGGCAGGTGCCAGGCAGACGTTGGTCCCTTCTGCTAGTTTTGCCTGGTCTTGAACCGGTGCTGTGGGCTCTTCTGGGGCTGGTTCCTTTCATGCTGAGTCATGTCTATGTGACTCCTCAGTAGTTAGTTTTTTAAAAAATTGCCAGATATAAATGTGTGCTCAGGCAGGTTTTTGAGAACTCCACACCATCTCTTGGGAACGATGAGAAGTCCCCTGAGTCCCTGTGGCAGGACGTGGGCTTTTCATGGGTCAGCCTGAGCCCCGCTCCATGGCCCCGATGGGCGCTGGGGCAGCACCCTGGCTGGACATGGGCTCCTAGAGAGGGCAGTCAGTGCTCGGCAGGCCAGAATCATGGAGGAGGGGTCGGGAAAGCACTGCTGACCCCCAATCCCATGGATATGCTGTCATCCTCCCAATGGCCTGGCTGATGGGCCATGGTGGGTGTGGACCCCTGAGTGAGTGTCTGGGGGGAAGTGTCACGGGGTCAGCCTGTGTGCTTCCTGGGCTCCTTGTCTACATGGCTGCGCATCTGCTTGGCTGTGTGTCCGGGACCTGCTTGTGTCCACTACAGGCCTGGGCCCAAGGAATCTCGGGAGGTGGAAATGGACACCCGGGGCCGCAGAAGCTGCACAGGTGGGGCCAAGAACCAACCAAGCCTTGCTGCCAGCTCCCCGCTCCACCCACTGTGATGCCAGCTGCTTCTCACATCTGTGAAGCCTCACCCAGCCTTGGGCCATCATTTCAGGTAAATAAAAAGGCCTAATGGCCCCATCAGGCCCTGAGCTCCCTGCTTCCTGAGGAGCTGTCTTCTGCTGGAACTTGGAGGCCACGTGGGCAGAATGAAACTCCTGCTTCCGACAGCAGACGGCAGCAGTGACCTACTCCTGGCTGCCCTGCCCATCTGGAGCGGGTTCTGGGTCTTTTGGGCCCTTTGAGGTTGGTCCGCCCTCCTGCCCTGGCAGCAGCCAGTATTTTACTCCCAGTTGCTCCAGCCTCCCCCAACCCCCTTCCCCGTAAGTAACCTGCCCCGACGCTTGTCCTGGAGCCACGGTGTGGAAGATTCCAGCAGCATTGAGGAACCAAATTTTATATACAGCGTTTCCTCCAAGCACGCAGCTCTGATGTGCCTTTTCCAGGGCCAAAGGCCCCTTCAGGAATCTTCAGGCTTCCCGCTCCACCTCACCTTCTGTAGTGCTGCCAGGCTGACGACAGCCCCCGGGTCTGTGGCTGGCCCCTCTCTCCCAGAGCATCTTGGCCTGCAGTGCTGGCCACAGCCAGAGAGAGGGAAGAGACAGCCCCAGCAGTAACCACGGGTGCCTTCGGCCCACGCACCTGCCGGTCGGCCCCAAGGGTGCCAGGCCTTCCTCTCCTATCGCCGCTGTGGGGCTCCAAAGGGCAGCCAGGAGCCCCAGCTCTGCTGTGGCTTTGCTGTTCCCCAACTGTGAGACCCTCAGAGAGCTGCCGGGCGCAGGTTTCCTCCTCGGCCAGCGAGCAGTCAGACCAGGCTTCGGACCCCTCTACTGTTCCAGGGTGGAGGGGAGGACCCAGGAGACCCAATGGCCTGGATGCCAACAGCCAGCGTGGCCTGACGATGCCATAGGGCACAGGGACAGGCTCTCCGTCCTCTGCGGCCCCGTTCTGCTCCCACCCCAGTGCCCTCCTTTCACCCTGGGGTCCTCCCTGGACCAGCAGCTGCCACCCACAGCACACTGGGATATTTGTGCTGGCCTAGCTACTACCTGACACAGCTGACCACCTCACCCGGCTGACGACCCACACAGCCTCCTGGCCTGGGTCCTCCTGCGCCAGCATTGTGTGTCAAGTGTGTGTGTGGCTGGCATTCCTGTGTGCCGCGTGCAGAGCCTGCAGGACGCCCTTCAGTTCCCAGGATGCCCCACCACAGAGGGGGACTGGTCCCCCCGAGGGTCCTGGGAAACCCTGTTCCAACCACATGCCACATAGGTCCTGTTACGTGAGTTAGAGGGGTGCGTGTGCTTCTCAAGATGAGCTTTCATCAAGTTCTTCCTCCACGCGACGTTGGTCCAATTGGCCGGTGGGGAGTACAGTGCTAGGTGAGGGTCTCCGCTGGGGAGCTTGACACAGCGGGGCGCAAATAAAGCCGTCACCAATCCAAACCCGTTCTGCACTGATACCTCGTACAATAGCAATAAAAATGTGTCAGCAAGAACGCCAAATTCGGTTAGCGTTTTAAACGCGGCATTCACTCACGGTGAACGGGCAGCGGTGGGTTTACTGCCCTGCACTCCAGCCCACAGTGCGGTGAACTGGACCCTAAATCACAGTGAACGGGCGGCGGTGGGTTTACTGCCCTGCACTCCAGCCCACAGAGCACTGGACTCTAAACATGCACTGACCTCAAGGTGGTTCCCCTGGCTGACCTCCTGTCACATGGCCTGGATAAGACTGGCAATGGCCAGATCTTGTCACAATCTGAACAAAAGGGTCAATATGTAGAGAAACAGACTGACGATTCGACGCCTCCCAAGGGAGGAACAAAATGAGCTACATTTTCGTTTACTAGAGCACAGTATTAAGGGCCTTGACTTGGGAGTAGCTCAGATGAAGACTTGGTTTGTTTTTCTTTCCTTTCTTTCTTTCTTTCTTTCTTTCTTTCTTTCTTTCTTTCTTTCTTTCTTTCTTTCTTTCTTTCTTCTTTCTTTCTTTCTCTCTCTCTCTCTCTCTTTCTTTCTTTCTTTCTTTCTTTCTTTCTTTCTTTCTCAGATTCTCGCTCTGTCGCCCAGGCTGAGTGCAGTGGCGCAGTCTCGGCTCACTGCAATCTCTGCCTCCAGGGTTCACGCCATTCTCCTGCCTCAGCCTCCTGAGTAGCTGGGACTGCAGGGGCCCACCATCACACCTGACTAGTTTTTTGTATTTTTAGTAGAGATGGGGTTTCTCCATGTTAGCCAGGATGGTCTCTATCTCCTGACCTCGTGATCCGCCTGTCTTGGCCTCTTAAAGTGCTGGGAGAAGACCTGATGGTTTCAGTGGACCACAAGCCATGTGGTGTGGCCTGGGAGAGGGCACAAAGTAACCTGCCTGCTGTTCCCGGGAAGATGCCTCATCACACATCCGAGGGCCCATGAAACCCGGAACGGCCCACGCACAACTGGAGAGCCTGACACACACCTGGAGGGTCCTTCGCACACCTGCAGAGCCCGTCACACACCTGGAGGGCCCGTCACACACCTGGAGGACTCATCACACACCTGGAGGACTTGTCACACCTGGAGGATCCATCACACACCTGGAGGACTTGTCACACACCTGGAGGGCCCATCACACACCTGGAGGACTTGTCACACACCTGGAGGGCCCATCACACACCTGGAGGACTTGTCACACACCTGGAGGGCCCATCACACACCTGGAGGACTTGTCACACCTGGAGGATCCATCACACACCTGGAGGACTTGTCACACACCTGGAGGGCCCATCACACACCTGGAGGACTTGTCACACACCTGGAGGGCCCATCACACACCTGGAGGACTTGTCACACACCTGGAGGGCCCATCACACACCTGGAGGACTTGTCACACACCTGGAGGGCCCATCACACACCTGGAGGACTTGTCACACCTGGAGGATCCATCACACACCTGGAGGACTTGTCACACACCTGGAGGGCCCATCACACACCTGGAGGACTTGTCACACACCTGCAGAGCCCGTCACACACCTGGAGGGTCCAGCACACACCTGCAGGACTCATCACACACCTGGAGGGCCCGTCACACACCTGGAGGGCCCATCACACACCTACAGGGCCGCAAGGGGAACATTTCCAAGGCCATTGTCAGTGCGGTGTAAGGAGGACCTTTCTCCCCATCGGAGCAGGTAACCCAGCAAGGAAGCCCATCCAGCAGCAACCTGCCCTGGCACCTGGTCCTGGCAGGCAGCAGGATGGCCTCAGCAGAGCCGGGATCAGAATGGGGTGGCAGGGGGGTGCAAGCCCACTGGAGGGGGTCCCGGCAGTGAGGTGACCCTGGACATGGGGAGCTGGGCAGCTTCTCTGCATCCATCTCCAGGTGACCTGGAGGGGTCTGGAGCATCAGGGGAGGGGAAGGCAGCCTCCAGGACAAGATGAGCCCTGCCACCTGAGGGGCTTGTGTCTGGAGAAGGTTTCCAGCAGGAGGGGAGCAAGGTCACAACCTGGGGAGGGATCCATCCCGGGGTGACTGGGGTCTGTGAGGCCTTGGGGTGACCTGCAGCGTGCGTCTTGGGATGCACTTGTACCGCATTCCTTCCTGTCGGGATACTGAAGGTCCCGAGCCAGAGGAGAGGAGAGGCAGAGCAGCCCGTCAGTGATGACCAAACCTGCCCACGATGAGTGTGTGGAGGAGGCGCGCTCGTGGAGATGTGCCAGCCGGGTGCAGGGACTGCGGGCATTTGCTGAGAGCCTCCTCCACCAGGTGTTTCCATGGAATGTCTGGTAGGGCTCCCACCAGCCCTGGCCACAGGCCCTGCTGCCTTCCCTCACGTTGCAAGGGGCCATGCCTGACACTCGTCATCACCCACCAACAGAGCGTAAGCCAAAAATAAAACACTAAGGTTCCCAACCATCTGAGTGGACCTCGTCCTCACCAGAGCCCTCTTAAAATGTAACCCGAGAGGTGGTTTCCAGCCATGACGGGAACGGGGGTCAGACATGCCTCGTTCTACCTTTCCAGCATTAACGTCCACACAGACCTGAAGTCTGATGAGAAACATTTCACAGCCCTCTGAAGCTGCTACCTGAAGGCCTCCTCCACAAATAAGAACCTGGGTTTCCAGGATCCTGGATCTGAACTCAGGCATTCCTTTCTATTATTGATCCCAGGTCTTTAGATAAATGTAACCAATTGTCCACCGGAAAGTTTTTAAATCTTCCTATAACCTGAGAGTTCTGCTCCCCTGACTGCTTTGCATTGCCCTGCCTTTCTGAGCCGAACCAGCATATTTCTTAAATGTATTGCCTGAAGTCTCATTCTCCCTAAAATGCATAAAAGCAAGCTACTCTCTGACCACCCTGGACACATGTCCTCAGGCCCTCCTGAGGGCTGGGTCATGGCCCACGGTCACTTGTCTTGGGCTCAGAATGAATCTCCCCACATTTTACAGAGTTTGACTCTTTGTTGACAGGAGCCAACGCTGCTGTCTGACCCCGGCCCGGAGCTCTCCCCGAGCTCTCCTGTGGGAGGCAGCCATTTGCAGAAATGGAGCCGAGCCTCAGTGGGACTGTCAGGGCCCAGGGACCCGAGGGGCCAGCGCTCCCTGAGGGCAGGGCTCAGCATCCACCAAGCGGGCCTTAGAGAGCCATGGCCGCCGGCCATCTGCAGTGCTCGTGAGGGGCACTGACTGCTCCCACCTGGCTCCCACCTCACCTCCGGCGGGCACTGGGGCGCTGTGCCTTTCTCAGAGGCATCAGGGAGTCCAAGGAGACGCCAGAGGACCTGTGTCCCATCCTCAAGGTAAAGGGCACAGTAACTGGCTGACCGATCACCAACAGGCCGCCTCCGCTGCCTGGAGCCCGCTGGCCCAGGGGTTCCTACCGCGCCCTGCCGTCTCCCTCATCCTCCCTCACTGCATCCAGACACCCAGTCCCCTGGTTGCCCGTGCCCGCGTCAGCTCTGGCCATCCTTGTCCTGGGGGCTGGGCATGGATTTTGCTGTCTCGTGTTCTCAGGACTGTATGAAGTCCAGCCCATTTGGCAAGCATCCTGTGGAGGTAAGGCTGTCTCTCAGTGGCTCCTGAGCTGATGTGTCCAACTACAGGTCCAGGTGGTGTCTGCCGAGTCTCCTGGTCAAATCGCCGTCCTTCCTCTGTAGGGGATAATCGTCCTGGAGACACTGGGAGACCAAATCCTGATTCTCCTGGAACTTCTCTGATTTTGGCATCCATGGGGGTCTTGTCAGCAGCAATCAGTTCCGTGGACTTTGACTCGTGGTGATTTTCTGTTTCCCCATTTCCTCAGGCATTTATCCATCGAGGTTCTCCTGCAGGGAAGAGCAGTGGGTCCCTCCTCCCGGGCTGCGTGTTGACCCGGCCAGTGGCGACAGCAGCAGAACTCATATGCGTCTATTGTATTCTGTGGTTTGTGAAAAGTGTAGGTCAGTGACCACAGTAGTGGATTCTGTGGTTTGCAATCAGCACGGCCTCTGTGCGTTTTGTTGCTCATGCCACCATGATCGGCCTTTGGCAGCTCTTCATGTTGGCCCCTGTGACCTTCACAAGCTCTTACTTTTTAATTAATTAAATCTGGGGGTGAGCCTCCGGCTCTGGGCTCCACAGGACTTCAGCTCATTGCAAACTTCCCTGCTCTGGAGGAGCAATGAGTCAGCCGCCGGCAAGGACAGCCCATTTGGAGGTAAAGTGCTAAGGGGAGAGGAAGGCGGTGAGAGTAAAGCAGTGGCAGGAACTGCTCAGAGGACAGGTGACATGCGGAGGCCTAGGGCAGACCTCGTCCAGGGCGCTGGGCAGGTCCAGGCAGGTCCTCCAGGCCAGGGACCCTGCGCAGCTGCCTTCTGGGTGGGGAGAGTGGGGGCAGCACCCAGGGTGCCTGGCGTGCTGTGCTGAAGGCCACCTGCGAGGCTGGAACTGTGTCTCCATCTGACAGGCAGAGAAACAGCAGCAGCCCAGCCTGGGAAACGATGTCAACAGCTCCTGTTTCCAGCACGTTCCTGGGTCTCAGACGCCCAGCCTCACACACAGAGTCCCAGAGACCAGGGTATCGAATGCCCAGCCTCACACATGGAGTCCCAGAGGAGATCAGGGTCTCGAACGCTCAGCCTCACACATGGAGTCCCAGAGACCAGGATCTCGAACGCTCAGCCTCACACATGGAGTCCCAGAGACCAGGGTCTCGAACGCTCAGCCTCACACATGGAGTCCCAGAGACCAGGGTCTCGAACGCTCAGCCTCACACACGGAGTCCCAGAGGAGACCAGGATCTCGAACGCTCAGCCTCACACATGGAGTCCCAGAGACCAGGGTCTCGAACGCTCAGCCTCACACATGGAGTCCCAGAGACCAGGGTCTCGAACGCTCAGCCTCACACACGGAGTCCCAGAGGAGACCAGGATCTCGAACGCTCAGCCTCACACATGGAGTCCCAGAGACCAGGGTCTCGAACGCTCAGCCTCACACACGGAGTCCCAGAGGAGACCAGGATCTCGAACGCTCAGCCTCACACATGGAGTCCCAGAGACCAGGGTCTCGAACGCTCAGCCTCACACATGGAGTCCCAGAGACCAGGGTCTCGAACGCTCAGCCTCACACACGGAGTCCCAGAGGAGACCAGGATCTCGAACGCTCAGCCTCACACATGGAGTCCCAGAGACCAGGGTCTCGAACGCTCAGCCTCACACATGGAGTCCCAGAGACCAGGGTCTCGAACGCTCAGCCTCACACACGGAGTCCCAGAGGAGACCAGGATCTCGAACGCTCAGCCTCACACATGGAGTCCCAGAGACCAGGGTCTCGAACGCTCAGCCTCACACATGGAGTCCCAGAGACCAGGGTCTCGAACGCTCAGCCTCACACACGGAGTCCCAGAGGAGACCAGGATCTCGAACGCTCAGCCTCACACATGGAGTCCCAGAGACCAGGGTCTCGAACGCTCAGCCTCACACACGGAGTCCCAGAGGAGACCAGGATCTCGAACGCTCAGCCTCACACATGGAGTCCCAGAGACCAGGGTCTCGAACGCTCAGCCTCACACATGGAGTCCCAGAGACCAGGGTCTCGAACGCTCAGCCTCACACATGGAGTCCCAGAGACCAGGGTCTCGAATGCCCAGCCTCACACATGGAGTCCTAGAGGAGACCAGGGTCCCAGACGCCCATCCTCACGCAGAGCCCCATAGGAAACCAGCACCTGCGTCTTCTGTCTGGGTGGCACAGGGAAAGTGCTTCCCCTGGGAATACTCGGCTGGCATCCACCCCGCCAGTGTGTGCTGCAGGCTGGCTCATCTGGGGGTGGGGGGCTTGGCGGCAGCACCGCAGGGTCTAGGGGAGCCCACCTGGCTCTGGCCTCCTGCTCTTCGCTTCCGGGGAAACGGCCCAGGCCCCTGCTGCACACTCTTCCTTCCCCTCTTCAGTAGTAAGAGGAGCCAAATGCGGCTGACGGTGCATCTGAGGCCGAGGCGCAGCCCCCGCCCCTGGGGTGGACTTTGGCCGCATGGGCAGGGCCAGGCAGGCAGGTAGCCTCTTGGGGCCTCTGAGGTGGCCCGAATGCCTCCCCTGATCACGGCTGCCACCCGGGCATCCTGGTCCCCCTGCGTCAGAGCCCACACACATGACAGACAGGAGGCTCTGGCTCAGATGAGGCCAGCGGCACTTCCTTTCATCCTGCCTGGCACCCGGTTTCTTGATGACCCAGGCCAGTGTTTTTCACGCTGAATCGTGTTTGACTTAGAAGCACATGGGATGATCCCTTTGGCCTTCCCAGCACCTCCTGAGAAGTATTGTCATCAGACCTGTGAGCATGAGATGGCGCTGGGCCCAGAGAGGTCAGTGCCCTGGCCCAGGATACACAGCGCACAGGAGGTCACTGGGAGCCTGAGTGACAACATCTCCAGGGCTGGACAGCCTCCCTGTCAGGGGTGAGAAACGGGTCTGTGCCCATTTCACGGCTAAGAACCTGGAGCAGGTCCCCCTTCAGCCCAAAGCCCAGGAGGAGGCGGCTGCTTATTGCAAAAGGTGTGAACCAGGCTGAGTGGTGCCGCCCTCCCCATCCACGTGGTCCCCATCTTTCCCATCCACGTGGTCTCTGTCCTCCCCATCAACGTGGTCCCCGTTCCCCCCGTCCAGGTGGCCCCCATCTTCCCAGTTGGGTGATCCCCGTGTTCCCCGTTGGGTGGTCTGCGTCCTCCCCATCGGGTGGTCTCTGTCCTCCCCATCGGGTGGTCTGCATCCTCCCCATCGGGTGGTCTCTGTCCTCCCCATCGGGTGGTCCCCTTCTGGCTCTGGGTTGCCTGCATCTTGCAGCTCCACACTCCGGAACATGTGGCTTCTGGCATCACCGGGGCGGGGGGAAGGGGCCAGCTGCAGCCCTTGGCTGGAACGTGTCAGGCAGCCAAGCCTATGTGCAAAGGGCCGGGACCTGAAGGAGTGAGAAGCCGGACGCTGTTGTCCCTGACCCTGAGCTGAGCAAGTTCCACTGAGGCCACAGAGATGAGTCCGACCTGAATTCTGCCCTCCCGGAGTTTACAACAGGGTGAAAGGCACCTGGCGGGTCTGGAATGCCAGCTTGGAAGGGATCGTGGGAGGAGCTGGCTGAGGAAACGTGGGCCTGGGGTGGGGGTGGCTGGGTTCCCAGGGAGGCCGCAGGTGCTGTGGTGTGCACAGCAGGGCCTGAGCCTCCTGGGGCCAGGAGGCTTCCTGGGCGTGAGGCCCAAGCTGAGTTTTCCATAGGGATTGAGAGTGAGTGAAGGCTGTTTGGAAGGACGTGCTGGGCAGTGGGAAGTTTGAGCAAAACCTGGAGACAGGAAAGAGCTGTGTGTTGAGAGAAGCTACAGCTGGTGCAGTGTTTCTGGAATGGAAAGTTCACGGCGGACGTGTGGAAGGGAGCGACTCCCAGTGGTGGGCACAGCAAGGGCCCCTCCCAAAGACGTCGGAGGCTGAACCCCCAGGACGCTTGAACAGGGCAACCTTGCAGGGGGAACTAGGTTAGGAATCCCAAGTCGGGAGATAGCCTTGGATTATTCGGTGGGTGCTCCTGGAGTTTAGGGAGGATGGAGAGGCTGCTGGACCCAGCGTAAGGTCTGGGCTCCTTAGAGGCAGGTGGGCGGGTCAAAGAGAGAGCAATTTGAAGATGCTGGGTTTGAAGATGGGCCGTGGGCCAAGGCTGCTGCCGTCTCTGGAGGCTGAGAAAAGAAAGCAGTGGCTTCTCCACCAGGCTCCTGCCAGCCCTGCCTTCAGCACCCTGAGGCCCTTTTCACACTTTCCCCTCCAGGACTGTAAGATAATACATTTGAGCTGTTGGAAGCCACTAGGTTTGTGGTAATCTGTTAAAGCAGCAGATAGGAACCTCATAGACTCACTATTGAGAAAAGAAAAGCACTTTTATCTGAGGAGCAAGTCCTTTTAATTATTGGGTCCAGAGAGGCGTTCAGTTGAGGCCGCAACCACATCCCACTCCCCCTTTGAGCTGCATGTTCATCTTGTGAAAGGAAAATCATTCTCGGGACCCCAGATCGCTGAGCCTAAGAGAAAAGTCCAGCTGGGAACTGTGCCAGGCAAACCTGCCTCCCATTCTATTCCTGAGTAAGGGAACTACAAAGATTTTAAAAAGCTACACGCCTGCCTCACGATTTGCCCACAAAGAAATTCCTTGTGGACAAAGCACAGACAGAACTCAAAGTCACCCCACTGCTCCCGTGAGACAAACGCACACAGCTGATCACTTCCTCTGCCCTCATTTCACTGAGCCAGACTCAGGCATGAGTGACCATTCCTGTAAATTGTGCATTCCGTAAAAGGCTAATCAGAAACTCAGGAGTGCAACCGTTTGTCTCTTATCTACCTACGACCTGGAAGCCTCCTCCCTGCTTCCATCTGTCCCGCCTTTCCGGACCGAACCAGCGTTCATCCGATGTATGTTGATGTCTCATGTCTCCCTAAAATATGTAAAACCAAACTCTGCGCCGACCACCTCAGGCATGTTGTCAGGACCTCCGGAGGCTGTGTCACAGGTGCGTCCTGAACTTTGGCAAAATAAACTTCCTAAATTGACTGAGCCTTATCTCAGACGCCTTTTGGTTTACAACGCTACTGAGATGTTCATCTCACCTGCAGCTGTGTATGAGAAGAGGTCGTGGCTGCATCTGGATTCGGAAAGACCCCAGTGCTAATGATTGTTACCATAACCAAGGGAAAGGACTCTAACCTGTGCGGGTTTACGGCTGCCTTCTCGGCAAGCTTGAGATTGTAGGAGCCATACGTGGCCACGATGTGGACTGCACTCTGGCTGGTGGCTGTGGCGTGACCACGGTCACTGCACAGTCACTTGGATCCCTGGGAGGAGAGTCCTGTAGCCTCGGACCGGGGATGCCACAGGCATGAACCCACCTTTGCAAAAATTATAACAGTGGAAAAATTATGGCAGTGAAAGAGACCCGAGGTAACCAACTCCCATCTTGCCTTTAGCCTTCAAACTGCCCTTAATTATTCCTGGGCTTGGGCCAAGCTAACTCTGGGAGACATTTAGTTTATAGCTTAAATGATAATAACCCTTCCGCAAAACTCAACAGCCTTTGTAAAGCTATTGAGAGACCACTAGGCTACGAGGACGAGAGGAGCCT